>NC_000009.12:100493279-100644794 GCF_000001405.40 Homo sapiens | reverse complement strand
CCCATTCTCACCTTGAGCCACTTCTCAGCCTCCATTTAGACCACTCAAATGAGACCACTTGTGCCAAGTCACTCAAGATCTCCTTATGGCCAAATCCAAGCTCCTTTGTCAGCTTTTGCTTGACCGTCCAGCAGCACTGGCCATCAGCAGCAGATCACTCCCTGGTTCTTAAAACTGGCTATCTTTGGCTTCTGTGGCACCATGTACTCCTGGTTTTCCTCCTCTCTCACTGGCCCCTCCTTCTCCTTTGCTGGATGCTTCTCTGTTCAGCCTTCTAGGAACTCTCCAGGAATCAGTCTTGGGTCTTGTCATAGACAAAATAATGGCCCCTAGAGTTGTTCACCTCCTGATCCCCAAAACATGTAAATATTTTACTTTACATGGCAAAAGGGACTTTGTGGGTATAATTAAGGAGATGGGAAAATAACCCTGGATTATCCAGGTGGACCCAATGAAATCACAATCATCTTTATGATTGTGAGGGAAACAGGAGAGTCAGAGTCACAAAAAAGATGTGACAATGGAAACAGAGGTGAGAATTATGTACTTTAAATATGGAGGAAGGGGCCACAAGCCAATGAATGCAGGTAGCCTCAAAAAGTGAGAAGAAGGATACTGCCTTAGTGTGTCCAGATGAAGCCCAGCCCTGCCAACATCTTGATTTCGGCCCATTAAAACACATTTGGGACTTCTGACATCCAGAGCTATAAAATAATACATTTGTGTTGTCTTAAGCTACTAAATTTGTTACAGCAGCATTAGGACACTACTACAGGTCCCAATTTCTTCTTTTTTTTCTTTTTTTTCTTTTTTTGAGACAGAGTCTCACTCTGTTGCCCAAGATGGAGTGCAGTGGTGTGATCTCAGCTCACTGCAACCTCCACCTCCCAGGCTCAAGCGATTCTTCTGCCTCAGCCTCCCGAGTAGCTGGGAATAAAGGCATGCACCACCATGCCCGGCTAATTTTTGTGTTTTTAGTGGAGACAGGGTTTCACCATGTTGGCCAGGCTGGTCTCAAACTCCTGACCTCATGTGATCTGCCCACCTCAGCCTCCCAAAGTGCTGGGATTACAGGTGTGAGCCACCACTCCCGGCCTCCAATTCCTTCTTTATCTATACATTCTTCCTAAGGGACCTCACGATGTTCTATAGCTTTTTTAAAAAACTGTATTCTAAGACGACCAAACTGATCTCAGTAATTCTGACCTGTCCCCCAGGATTCCAGATTCATATATCCAAATTACTACTTATGAGCCAAAAAAAAAGTAGCAACCCCTTTACAAAATGCAGATTTACCTGAATCTATTTTTATTTGAATGTGTTGCCTTTTGAGTTCATCTACATCTTCCTATACTCCTTATGTGTGATAAGGCAGCATCTGATGAAAATGAGGGTCCAGAGCAGGCCACCATCCACTTCATTCATTCATTCTTTCATCCAAACATGGTTATTGACCTAACCTAGAATGTACCAGTTCCCATCCCAGTCCCAAAAATGGATAAGGCATGTTCCATCTTATGTGTTGAATAAATATCCTAAACTCCACACAGCCAAATGGGAACCCCTGATTTCACCACCTCATCCCACACACCAGCACCTCCTCACAAAAAAAAAAAAAAAAAAAAAAAAAAAAAAAAACACTTTGCTTCTTCCCCAGCCTTCTCCATCTCTGGAAACTGCACCATCAGCCAACCAGGTGCTCCTATCAAAAACCTAAGAACTTACTTGCATTCATTCCTTTTTTCCTCAGTCCACACATCCAGCCTATGTGCAAATCCTTTCAATTCTACCTTCAGAACACACCCCAAGTGCATTTGCATTTCTCCATCTCCATTGCTTCCTCTGCAGTCCAAGCTACCACCATTTCTCACATGGAATACTGCAACTAACTTTAAGAATCTATTTCCCACACAGCAGCTAGAAGTACATTTTTTTAAATGCAAATTAGGCCATGTCATGCCCATACTTAAAACCCATCAATGGCTTCCCATTGCACTTAGAATGAAAGTCAACCTCCTTATGCCAGCTTTCAGAGACTTTCCTGCATCCTCCCAACTCTCTATCCTTGTCTTGTACCTGGCTTGCCTTGCACCAGCTACACTGGCCTTTTGAACATGTCAGTCTCTATTTTGCATCAGGACATTTCCACTAACTTTCCTCTCCACCTAAATTGCTCTTCCCCTGATTTTCTTTCTCAACCTTTAGGTCTCATTTCAAATGTCACCATCTCAGGGAGGCTTTCTTGACCACTCTATATAAAATAGCTATCCAATTATTCCCCAAACTATCTCCCTTAATTCATTGTATAATATATATTCTTATTTGATATTTTTCCTAGTAGTTTATTCTGCTTCCCCCTAGAAGAATGTAAAAGTCATGACAGCAGGGGTCTTGTCTTCTTTACTGCTATATGCCCAGGTTTTTTTTTAATTTCCTGGCACATAGTAGGTAGTCAACAAGTATTTGCTGTACAAGCAAAATTTTTGCCCAGGACCTGTCATTACAGTTAGGAGCCACCTTCATCTAGTCATTGTTTCCAGATGTCTTCACTGTCACTACATGTAACAAGTACCACTATATTTTATTTCCCTGCTTGCTTTTTCTGTCACCTCTACTGGATGTGAAATTCTTAAAAACAGAGATTATAATACTAGTGCAGGGAGTGACTGGTACATTTCAGGTGGTCAGTCACCATAGTTGAATGAATAAATGAATGAATCAATCAGTTAATGACTCCATGAGTCAATGAATAAATGATGAATGAGTAAACGGGAACAGTCTCTTGCTTTGTCACTGTATCCTCACTGTATCCTCAGATGCTACCTCACTACACATGAGGGACACATAAAGATACAAACTAAGTTAACTGGTAACAAATTCAGACAAAAACAGGCTTTGTTAAGTCTGCATTCTGTAAGGGGGCTGCTTATATGACTCTACTTTTCCACTCTGGCCAGTCCAATAGTCAGGGCAGGGCCCCCTGTAGTAGATATCAATGTAGAATAACACCCTAAGGATTTTCTGCTTAGGAACACTATAAAGAGTATAAAAGGATTTGTGGGGAATTCTTAAACCTTCATTTTGTAATGAGAATGAGATACAGTTCACTAAATATACTAATATACTAAAAGTCATAAAATTTTAGAATGGATTCTGATAATAGTCTCCTTTCACTATGGAACTAATAATAAAATAATTGCATTAGCATATGTATAGCTAACATCATGGAGAATTTACTAGGTTCCAAAACTTTGCTAAGAGCTTTACATGAGGTGTGTTATATCATTATTCTCATTTTATAGATAACATAACTGAGTTTTAAAAAGACAAGTTCACATAGGTGTTACTTGGCGGATCCAGGATATAAACCTGTTGATCTGACTCTTGAGCCCACAAGCTTAACAAGTGCACTCGCCTGAATTAACCAGCAGGGCCAGGGACTGGCCAGACTTTTTCAAGTGGTTCTCTCTGGACCCTCTCCTGAATGGTTTAGTATATGTGGTGCCCATCCCAGCTGGCCTGTTCCCTGCTGGGATGTCTAGATGTCTTATGTTTATTCCAGGGCTCTTATTATGAGGACTTGAGTCTCTGCTTATTCAAAGAGCTGATTTTGTCATATCCTAAATCCCTACACATCTGGCTTTGCTTCCCTCTAATGGGTCCTGGGTAATGCTGCTTGACGTAGAGTTCCCTGGCTCTCCATGCTGGGCTCTCTTGGCCCCATTTTATCCGCTACTCTGTAGCTGAGCTCTGGCAGCAGGATAAGCTTATTTCAAAGACCCTGCAATAAGAAGAGTGCATATCCACTTTCAATGGAAAGTTAAAATGACTCCCTCATTGGAGAGAAATATACAGGGAAAAGCATTTCCTTTGAAACACCCTCTATTAATCCAACATAAAATATTTAATTACTTCACGCCCAATTTTGTGTAAGTTATTCTAGAATACTATAATAGGATATGGGTCTTTCTAATCACATTTGGTAGATTCTTAATTGAAACCCTACGGTAAACTAAATCATCAGGTACTTTCGTTTCTTAATCATTTCAACCCTGTAGCTCAGAACAAGAGCATAATCATACTTTTTCCCTCAGATAATACTCCCCTGGAACAGACAGTAATACATTTTTTTGCTTTGGCATTTGGCCATTTACCACAATGGAGGTGAGGATGACAGTGATAAAAGACTGAAATGTGCAGTTCTGCTAGCTTTTTTTCCTACGAAAAATTAAAAAGCACGTCCTCTATGTCATGTGCCTTTGCTTTGGGTTCACACAACTACTGGGATATTCAAAAGAACCACAGAGAATTATTGCTGAACTGGAAAGGGAAATTCACCTAGATAAGTCATAGCTATCAGTCATATTTTTAAACAGATATAAGCATATTTTTAAATGACAAATAAAATGGCATATGAATAAGGAATACGCTGAAAAGCTAGAAAAACATATCTACATTCAAACCACTACAACCTCCTGCCTCACTAAATGCAGAAGGTAAACTTCTAAAGAGAGGCCATGTCACTTTAAGAAAATTGAGGCCCTAGGCATACTAGAAACACAGCCAATCACAATTATCAAAAATAATTCATGTCTATGTTTCCTAGTGCACAAGACATTGCTTATACCCAAAAAGAAATATTAGGGCTCGGTGGTGTGGCAGCTTCTCACAGCTGTCAGAAACCCATTCCTTATCAGTCCAGGAGGAGTGTAATTAAAGACAATAGCCAGAGCAGCTGTATTGGAGAAACAAGTCATTTGTCTTCCCCCTCCCCCACCCCTTCTGTTCACATAGTTAATCTGAACATAGCATCAGCTCCATCAGCAAGGCTTCTTCAAAAGGCAGAATAATAGAAAACATCTATCTGTCTCCCATTGTGGATTATGAAGGTTAAAGAAATACTTGGTCTTATCTTGCTATTACATTATATAAAATGCATATAATTTAGGTCTAGAAGTTCAAACACTCCTGAGAATAAGGCAGGTTTTGAAGCACAAAAAAAAATAATCTTTAGGAACAGAGAGAATCTAGGGAAAAATGGCTTATGCTCAGTGGTGTTCTAGAAAATGTTCAACAACAGGCTCTCCAGAGGTAAAGCCCTGATTTGTAACATTTTTCCAATTTCTGTGGCATAAATACTCCTACCGTGGCTGATTGCAAGCTACACATGTGGCATCATTGAACACAGAGAATCTTAACAGCAGATTAGGTGAGAAGAGATGCACAGTAAGATGCCATTTCCACTACAGAGTATTTCCACTACACAGAAACAAGAGATGGAAATAATCTCAAGGACATAGTAGTGGAATGTGGTAAAAACAACCAGGAAGTAGTGAATTTTGAATATTTGTTACTTTTGTTTGTAATATAATTTATTGAAATGTTATGTAATTCAATTTTTAATAATGGCTATGTTCAATTACCACCTTGCAGAATTCCTGAAAACAATCATATCTCACAAGCCCATGCAAACTGGCTGCTGCCCACCACTCTCTATACTCTGGCTGCCCTGTTACTAGAATAAATAGCCCTCTTGTTATAACAGGTGAAAAAAATGCATAACAACAATATTCATTTTTATCAACAGTGGAACTCAATTACTTCTTTAACAATTTTCCCAAAACCTATATTTGCAGAATGATCTCCCTGAAGCTAGAAAGAGAGTAATTTAGGAATATCTTTATGCATTGTTACTAAAACAATGAAAACACAGGCTTTTTACATAATTGGTTGTGTTGCAAACGTACTGTATTTTGCAATCCTTTCTTCTTCATGTGCATGCAACTAGATGCCAATAGGAAATTTTGTCTGAAGCACTGAGATAATAAATTTCAAGTGAGGCACAAGGCTACACCACAAACTGGCAAAACGGGTGATTTTAAAAAACAGTTTTACATCTGGGAAGACGGAGTTGACATATTTTTTCCTATCTCTCCCACTAAGCACAACTAAAAACCCTGGAAATTATATCTAAAACAACCAAAAGATTCTGGAGAGAAGACAGGCCAGCTAGGGAATAACATGGGCGAGTCCGCTTCTTTCCTTTTTGCTGCATACATCCCAGACTAGCAGCTGGAGGAGTTGGCAACCCAGAAACACCAATGAGTGCAGACTAAAAAGGCCCCCAACAGCCTACATTTCTATCCAAAGGACCTTATCATGATGCAACTGTTCTGTATCTTGACTGGATTGATGTCCATTTCCTAGCTGTGAGATTGCACTATAGTTTTGTGAGAGGTTACCACTGGAGGGAAACTGGGTAAAGGGTAGAAGGGATGTATCTCTACTATTTCTTACAAATGCATGTGAATCTACAACAAACTCCAAATAAAAAGTTTAATTTAAAAACAACTGTGGGCGGGGGTCACTTCCAAGATGGCTGAATAGGAACAGCTCCAGTCTATAGTTCCCAGAGAGATCGAAACAGAACAGGTGATTTCTGTATTTCCAACTGAGGAAAATGGTTCATCTCATTAGGACCAGTTGGACAGTGGGTGCAGCCCATGGAGGGCAAGCCGAAGCAGGGTGGGGTGTCGCCTTACCTGGGAAGTGCAAGGGGTCAGGGAATTTCCCTTTCCTAGCCAAGGGAAGCCATGAGTGACTGTACCTGGAGAAACAGTACACTCCTGCCCAAACACCACACTTTTCCCACAGTCTTCGCAACCAGCAGACCACAGGATTCCCTCCCATGCCTGGTTCAGCAGGTCCCACACCCACGGAGCCTTGCTCGCTGCTAGCACAGCAGTCTGAGATTGACCTGGGATGCTGGAGTTTGGCAGGGGGAGGGGCATCCGCCATTGCTGAGGCTTGACTAGGCGGCTCTATGCTCACAGTGTAAACAAAGCAGCAGGGAAGCTCAAACTGGGTGGAGCCCGCCACAGCTCAGCAAGGCCTACTGCCTCTCTAGATTCCCCCTCTAGGGGCAGGGCATATCTGAACAAAAGGTAGCAGAGAGCTTCTGCAGACTTAAATGTCCCTGCCTGACAGCTCTGAAGAGAGCAGTGGTCTTCCCAGCATGGTGTTCGAGCTCCGATAACGGACAGACTGCCTCCTCAAGTGGTTCCCTGACCCCCGTGTAGCCTGACTGGGAGACACCTCCCAGTAGGGGCCAACAGACATCTCGTACAGGTGGGTACCCCTCTGGAACAAAGCTTCCAGAGGAAGGATCAGGCAGCAATATTTGCTGTTCTGCAGCCTCCTCTGGTGATACCCAGGAAAACAGGGTCTGGAGTGGACCTCCAGCAAACTCCAACAGACCTGCAGCTGAGGGGCCTGTCTGTTAAAAGGAAGACTAACAAACAGAAAGGAATAGTATCAACATCAACAAAAAGGACATCCACACCAAAACCCCATCCATAGGTCACCAACATCAAAGACCAAAGGTAGACAAAACCACAAAGATGGGGAGAAACTAGAGTAGAAAGGCTGAAAATTCCAAAAACCAGAACGCCTCTTCTCCTCCAAACAAACACAGCTCCTTGTCAGCAAGGGAACAAAACTGGATGAGGAATGAGTTTGACAAGTTGACAGAAGTAGGCTTCAGAAGGTCAGTAATAACAAACTTCTCCAAACTAAAGGAGTGTGTTCTAACCCATCGCATGGAAGCTAAAAACCTTGAAAAAAGGTTAGATGAATGGCTAACTAGAATAACCCATGTAGAGAAAAGCTTAAACGACCTTATGGAGCTAAAAACCATAGTACGAGAACTTTGTGAAGCATATACAAGCTTCAATAGCTGATTCGATCAAGCGGAAGAAAGGATGTCAGTGATTGAAGATCAAATTAATGAAATAAAGTGAAAAGGCAAGATTAGAGAAAAAAGAGTGAAAATAAATGAACAAAGCCTCCAAGAAATATGGGACTATGTGAAAAGACCAAATCTACATTTGATTGGTGTACCTGAAAGTGATGAGGAGAATGGAACCAAGTTAGAAAATACTTTTCAGGATATTATCCAGGAGAACTTCCCCAACCTAGCAAGGCAGGCCAACATTCAAATTCAGGAAATACAGAGAACACCACAAAGATACTCCTCAAGAAGAGCAACCCCAAGACACATAATTGTCAGATTCACCAAGGTTGAAATGAAGGAAAAAATGTTAAGGACAGCCAGAGAGAAAGGTTGGGCTACCCACAAAGGGAAGCCCATCAGACTAATAACAGATCTCTTGGCAGAAACCCTACAAGCCAGAAGACAGTGGGGGCCAACAGGCACATATACACCATGGAATACTATGCAGCCATAAAAAATGATGAGTTCATGTCCTTTGTAGGGACATGGATGAAACTGGAAATCATCATTCTCAGTAAACAATCTCAAGGACAAAAAACCAAACACCACATGTTCTCACTCGTAGGTGGCAATTGAACAATGAGAACACATGGACACAGGAAGGGGAATATCACACTCTGGGGACTGTTGTGGGGTGGGGGGAGAGGGGAGGGATAGCATTAGGAGATATACCTAATGCTAAATGACGAGTTAATGGGTGCAGCACACCAGCATGCCACATGTATACATATGTAACTAACCTGCACATTGTGCACATGTACCCTAAAACTTAAAGTATAATACTAATAAAATAAAAAAAAAACAGTCAATGTTCTTAAGGAAAAGAATTTTCAACGCAGAATTTCATATCCAGTCACACTAAGCTTCATAAGTGAAGGAGGAATAAAATCGTTTACAGACAAGCAAATGCTGAGAGATTTTGTCACCACCAGGCCTGCCTTACAAGAGCTCCTGAAGGAAGCACTAAACATGGAAAGGAACAACCAGTACCAGCCACTGCAAAAATATGCAAATTGTAAAGACCATTGACACTATGAAGAACCTGCATCAATTAATGGGTGAAATAACCAGCTAGCATCATAATGACAGGATCAAATTCACACATAACAATATTAACCTTAAATGTAAATGGGTTAAATGCCCCAATTAAAAGACACAGACTGGCAAATTAGACAGAGTCAAGACCCATGGGTGTGCTGTATTTAGGAGACCCATCTCACATGCGAAGACACACATAGGCTCAAAATAAAGGGATGGAGGAAGACCTACCAAAAATGAAAAGCAAAAAAAAGCAGGGGTTGCAAACCTGGTCACTGATAAAACAGACTTTAAACCAACAAAGATCAAAAGAGACAAAGAAGGGCATTACAAATGGTAAAGGGATCAGTGCAACAAGAAGAGCTAACTATTCTAAATATACATGCACCCAATACAGGAGCACCCAGATTCATAAAGCAAGTTCTTAGAGACCTACAAAGAGACTTAGACTCCCACACAATAATAATGGGAGACTTTAACACCCCACTGTCAGTATTAGATCAACAAGACAGAAAATTAACAAGGATATCCAAGACTTGAACTCAGCTCTGGACCAAGCCAACCTAATAGACATCTGTAGAACTCTCCACCCCAAATTAACAGAATATACATTCTTCTCAGCACCACATCGCACTTATTCCAAAACTGACCACATAATTGGAAGTAAAACACTCCTCAGCAAATGTAAAAGAACAGAAATCACAACAAACTGTCTCTCAGACCACAGGGCAATAAAATTAGAACTCAGGATTAAGAAACTCACTCAAAACCGCACAACTATCTGGAAACTGAACAACCTGCTCCTGAATGACTACTGGGTAAATCACAAAATGAAGGCAGAAATAAAGATGTCTTTGAAACCAATGAGAACAAAGACAGCCTACCAGAATCTCTGGGACACATTTAAAGCAGTATGTAGAGGGAAATTTATAGCACTTAATGCCCACAAGAGAAAGCAGGAAAGATCTAAAATCGACACCCTAACATCACAGTTAAAAGAACTAGCAAAGCAAGAGCAAACAAATTCAAAAGCTAGCAGAAGACAAGAAATGACTAAGATCAGAGGAGAACTGAAGGAGACAGAAACACAAAAACCCTTCAAAAAAATCAATGAATCCAGGAGCTGGTTTTTTGAAAAGATGAACAAAATTGATAGACCGCTAGCAAGACTAATAAAGAAGAAAAGAGAAGAATCAAATAGATGCAATAAAAAATGATAAAGGGGATATCACCACCGATCCCACAGAAATACAAACTACCATCAGAGAATGCTATAAACACTGCTATGCAAATAAACTAGAAAATCTAGAAGAAATGGATAAATTCCTCGACACATACACCCTCCCAAGACTAAACCAGGAAGAAGTTGAATCTCTGAATAGACCAATAACAGATTCTGAAATTGAGACAATAATTAATAGCCTACCAACCAAAAAAAAAGGTCCAGGACCAGACAGATTCACAGCCGAATTCTACCAGAGGTACAAAGAGGAGCTGGTACCATTCCTTCTGAAACTATTCCAATCAATAGAAAAAGAGGGAATCCTCCCTAACTCATTTTATGAGGCCAGCATCAGCCTGATACCAAAGCCTGGCAGAGACACAACAAAAAAAGAGAATTTGAAGCCAATAGTTCAAGACCAGCCTGGCAAACATGGTGAAACCCCATCTGTACTAAAAATACAAAATTAGCCAGGCATGGTGGCATGCACCTGTAACCACTGGTATTAGGGAGGCCGAGACAGAATTGCTTGGACCCAGGAGGCGGAGGTTGCAGTGCCACCTGAGACAAGATCGCATCACTGCACTCCAGCCTGGGCAACAGAGTGAGACAAAGAAAGAAGGGAAGGGAAGGGAAGGGGAGGAGGAAGGGAAAGGGGAAGGGAAGGCAAGGGAAGGGAAGGCAAGGGAAGGGAAGGGAAGGGAGGAAGGAGAGTAAGAGAGAAAGAGAAAAAGAGAGAGAGAGAGAGACAACTGTGCATGTTTCCTACTCCCTCAGCTACATCAGGATATGAAAGGGTTAGAAGTCACAGATTAGGAGATTTGGGAGAAAGCTGTTGGAATATAACAAGAGGCCTAACTCCTCTCCCAAGACGGTAAACTAGAGGATGTCTTCCCCATCCCCACAAATCAAAATAGACAGGCTTTAAGAAGACCACTTGGAAAGCTTGCTATTTGGCCTTTAGAGATGGGGACACATAGACTAACTTACACCTGAAAAATCTAGAATAAAAACAAGGTATTACCATACTATAGTAATTTTCTACTACCCCTTGTATTTGAGTACAAAATTTAAAAGTATGTTAAGATGCTTTAAAAAAAAAAAGTGGTGTAGAAAATTGTACTTTATTGTATCAGTGACAAGATCTTATATGCAGAAAGCATTCAAAAATATTTCCAGAAGCTAAACACAGCGGCTCACACTTGTAGTCCCAGTACTTTGGGAAGCCAAAGTAGAAGGATCACTTGAGGCCAGGAGTTTGAGACCAGCCTGGGCAACAAAGCAAGACTCCATCTCTACAAAATAAAAAATAAAAAAATTAGCCAGGCATAGTGGCATGTGACTATAGTCCCAGCTACTCAGAAGGATGAGGCAGGAGGATTGCTCGAGACCAGGAGTTGTAGGTTGCAGCGAGCTATGATCATGCCACTGCACTCCAGCCTGGGTGATGCAGTGAGACTCCATCTCTTTAAAAAAGAATTATATATATTTTTTGAAAGAACAAACCACTCTGGACCTTTTTAAAACTTCTTATTTGAAAGTTAACTGTATAAAAAGGGCATCTCCATCATTTACTCATTTAACAAATATTAATTAATATGCCAATGGACCTATCATAGTCTTCACCTATAAGGAACCTTAGAGTTCTATCTACCTGTATTGGTTACATCAAACAGTCAACATCTAAGTCATAATAATAATAGCTAACACTTATTAAGCAACCATTGGGTGCCAAGAATTTGACATACATTACTTCACTTAATCCTTCAACAATCCTATAAGGGAGATGCTGTTATTATCCACATTTTATAGACGAGAAAAGCTGAGGCTTATAGAGAGGTTGATAACCTTTCTGAGGCCACTCTGCTGGTAAACTATAGAGCCAGAATTAAAAATTATCTCATCTGATTCCAGAACTCACTCTTATCCTTATCATAGTCACACACAAATTTCAAAGCACACAGGCTCAGGCATGAAGCAGAGGTAACAACATAAAGCCAATAAGGAGAGGAACCAGACTGAGATCCAGAGTTCCTTATTCACTTGGACATAAAATAAGGGCTGGGGGTAAGGAACCTGCTGCAGAAACTGGCCTCAAGGAAGACACATCCAAGGTCTGGACTGAAGCAAGTTTTTATTCCAAGGTTCACAAAATAGGGAGTCTCAGGCTGCTTCTTCCCGTGGCCCCATCTGAACAGGCTCAGGAGCTGGAACAGTCCTGAGCTTTAGGAGTTCAGATGTAGGGAGTTGAGGGAGACAGAGTGAAACTCTGTCTCTGAACAACAACAACAACAAAAAATGAAAACAAAAGACAAGTTCAGAGGAAGACATGCTGTGTTGAAAGCATGAGAAGCTAAGGTGAAAGGGTTGAGGGTATGAGCTTCTGAATGGTACTTTTAAGTTGTTAAGTAAATAGATGATCAGTGCCAAAAAAAAAAAAAAATCAAGGATATTTCTGAACACTTGCTAGCAAATGCAACTTCTTGTAAATAAAAGGTCTTTGCAAAAATGCAGACTAAATGGGATGTTGTAAAATTCTTATATCTAAATAGAATATGTTATACAACCTTGAAAATCCCATTTTAACTGTTCTTGCAACAGTTTACCATCTATAAAAGTTCTACCCAGAACAATTAAGAGAAAAAACTGTACACATTCTTTAATAATGCTCTTGAGTATTATGGAAAAAATGTGATGTAATTATCAAACTATCAGATTATTGCCTGAGGCTGATTACTCTCAGAACACCAGACAAGACGTTAAGGTAGCCATGGCCAAGTGTCAATTGTTGTGAAAGCTATTCAGGGTCATTGTGTTTCATGGCTTCCACCTGACCCCTCCCCTCAGCAAGACAAGGAGATGAAGCAAGACAGAGGGAGGAAATAGCCCTACTGATAGCAGAGGAATGACATTGCCTTTATATATAAAGAAAACATATTATTAGGTCATGACTGACATTAAATAGGTAATTTACTCAAATGACAGTACCATTTCATTCTCTGTAATTTGATGTAGTTGTTTTTTAAATAGCACCCTGAACAGATATATGTTTCCTATTTACACTGAAAAACACAGCAAGTTCTCTTTCCACCAGTATGGCTCTTCTGAAGGATGAGGAATGAGAAGGTGAAGTCATTGGGAAACCACCCAGACCCCCAGCCTTAACAGCACTCTGCTTCCATCTGCCCTCTTTGCCTCTGTGAGCCCATTTTGCCCGACATCAGAGCTTTTACTGTTTTCCTTTCTATTTTAGAGTTACTATCACCTGGACTGTTTCTCCTGGAACCTTTCCCTGTCTCCCTGGTCCTCACCCTTCCCTTCAATGTGATATCTCAAAGTATGTACAAGGTGCATTTTTTTAGGGTGTTGCTGTTCATCACTATGAGAAAACAGGAGTTCACCAAAGTAACAAATACATATAAACTACAAACTGGTAAGACTCCCTTGGCTGGGCGCGGTCATTCACGCCTATAATCCTAGCACTCTGGGAGGCCAAGGCGGGTGGATCACAAGGTCAGGTGTTTGAGACCAGCCTAACCAACACAGTGAAACCCCCGTCACTACTAAAAATACAAAAATTGGGCATGGTAGTGCACGCCTGTAGTATCAGCTACTAAGGAGGCTGAGGCAGGAGAATCGCTTGAACCCAGGAGGCGGAGGTTGCAGTGAGCCAAGATCGTGCCACTGCACTCCAGCCTGGACGACAGAGCAAGACTCTCTCTCAAAAAAAAAAAAAAAAAAAAAAAACTCCATGAGGTCCCCTAGTAATTGTACTTTTGGTAGAGCACAGTTCTTGGTACAGAGAAGACTCAATATATGTTTGCAGAAAGAAAAAAAATGCACTACCATTTAGTAGATTATTATACGCATGTATCTCTAAAAAGTAAGACTCAAACTATCTTAAAAAAAGAGAGGGAAAAGGTGGGGAGGAGGCTCTTCGCATATTTATATGAAATGATCTGCAAGATACGTTATGAGAAAACTAAATGTAGAACAGATAGAGTTTGTGTACAGAAGGGAGAAATATATACTTAAATGTATTTACTTGTAAATATTTAAAATACTCCTAGAAAGATATGCTAGAAGCAGTCAATACAGATTGTCTCCATGGAAGAGAATTGGGCGGCTGGGGGATCCATGGCAAAAAGATTTCTCCCTATAGTTCCTTTTATATCTTTTGAAGTTTTATTCTTTTCTCTCCCAGCCCCTTTGCCTGTGAATGTATTCACTACTCAATAGATTAAAATGACAGATTTTAACGTAAGGAATCTAAAGAGAAAACGAGTGGCTAGGGTTCTAGGACCTCTAGTGAAGTTTCCAGAGCTGGAGCTCCATATAAGTTCTTTACCAGAGCCTTTCATAAAAATAAAATTCACCGCATAACTTAGAGTCGCCACATTTTCAAAGGAGTGGATATGTGACCTAGATTAATCCCTGTGTTTTTTCATAATACTGATATTTTAAATGTAACAAGAATTATTAGCAATGTTTTCAGAGAAGACTCTCTTCTAGTTTACTAAGGCCTGAAACTCTTTATTTCCAAGAACAGACACATTTTTTTTCCTATTTTCACCTACTTAATATTACCTAGCTACCAAAAATCTTGGGATTCTTCCATTTTTAAGGGCAATATTCAATTAAAATTTGGCTTCCCCTTTTATTGTCAAGAATTTGATTAAGATACCTGTAAGTATAGTGATGTTAACGTGAATCTAATAATTTGTCTTTTCTAAAAGTTTATCAGAGATATCATCAAAGGATTCCAAGTCATCAGTCTAGTATCATTCAGGATCAATACCAACACCATTAATGACACAAAGGCATTGTTCTGGGAAGAAAACTACATCTGAAGATTGATAAATGGATTTCAAACAAAGAAGAGCAGAAAATAATCCATACAAGCTGAAATAAAGCTTTTAAAGGCAGGCAAAACCAAATGTAATATTCTGAAGCAAAATGCACCTTATGTCTTTTGTAATTTGAAAGAGAAACATCTGTAGAAAGATGCCATATACATTTAGTGATGTTAATATCTTAACCATTTATCTGACATTTTAACTATATACCTTTAGGATAGAACCAAAATCTATAAACCCCAATCTTTTTAATTCTAGGTAAAGAATGATAAGATACTTGACCAGAATTATAAACATGGTAATAGAAAAAAAATACAGGAAGCCTATTTTTTCTCAAAGTACATCATTAAAATTCAATGCTATGAACACACACTTCACATGCACACTGTTATAGCTGTATATAAAATAAAGGCACAGACCAGAAAATAAAAAAGGTAAGTTTACATAAGGAGATTATAGGTGATGCTTTGGTTTATATATTAATATCTTTTTTATTATTATAATAATATTTTAAAACAATTACAAATCAATGCTGCTACTAGCATCCTAATTTACATACAGATGTTAATGTCCTATATATTTTCATTTTAATAAACATTTCAGCATAATTCATGCACTTTTCAGAAAACATATCTCATAAGGGAGTAAAAATGAAAACAAAAGCTTCCATGGTACTACAAAAATTCTAAATTCCTTGAGCCGTTTGTTTATGCGTATTTCTACGACTAGCAAAAAAAATGGAGTTCTGCTTCTAGCAATGGATGATGCATACTTTTAGAATAACCCTCCTGTGGAGAACAACTATAAGCTGTTTTAAAATATATACTTGAAATATATGTTGGCCTCAAACAACTACGAAGACAGTGAGAAGTTGTGGGGCCAAGGTCTAGGAGATAAGGGAAACCAAGAGAGGTAATTCCAGAATTTACAGCACATTTCCCCTCAAGGCAAATTGCCAATTCTGAAAATGAAAATAACAAATGGGAGACAAGAAAGTGAGCACAATTTTCTTCATTTTCACGGGACTCAGAGAACATTTGAGTTCAAGGCTTCCCAAAGAGAAGGGTCTCCGGCAAATACCCTACACTTTCAGTAAGGTTCTTAAAGGTTGCCCCCAAAGAATAAGGGTGAACTAGAAACAAACTAACCTACCCAAGGACGGAAGCCCAGATTTGAGTCCTCTCAATTCTGAAAGAATTAAGCTGACCTGTCTAGACAAGCTCTAGAAAGAGCTAAAGGAAATCTTCCCTGGAGAAAGAAAACAATACCCAGAACCTCAATTTTTCTCTAAAATTCTTTATAAAAATATCTGGCACTCAATCAGAAAAAGGTTGGGGGGAAGAGCAGGTAAAAAGATAAGATTTATGTAAAAATCAAGAAAAAACACAATAGAAACAAACTCACAAGAGATTTAAATATTGAAATATCGAAGACAGACAAACTATTATTATGTTCAATCAATTAAATGAGAGGATAGAGAATTTCAGCAGAGAACTGGAAAGCAGAAAATAAATGAAAATTCTAGAAAGTCTAGAAGTGAAAAATAAACATTGTAAATTGACAGTACAATAGATAGATTTAACAGATTGCATACAACTAAAGGAATAATTAGTGAAGTAGAACATCAGAAGAAAATATACAGGCTGAA
Source organism: Homo sapiens (assembly GCF_000001405.40). Lineage (NCBI taxonomy): Eukaryota > Metazoa > Chordata > Mammalia > Primates > Hominidae > Homo > Homo sapiens. Next base: position 100,628,238 of record NC_000009.12, on the reverse strand, counting down.
GCATGGAAAATCAAAATAATGAAAAAATACAGCAAAGAACATAAAAAACACAGGAGATATGATGAAATGGTCTAAGAAGAAGAGGGGAGAGTAAAGCAGAAGCAAAATTTGAAGACATAATGGCAAAAATTTTCCCAAAAAAATGATAAAACCACCAAGTGCTACAAACTCCAAGATGAATAAATATAAAGAAAATGGTACTGAGCACATCATGGTCAAACTGCTGAAAAACAAAGACAAAAGGAAAACCTTAAAATCAGCCAGAAGAAAAGCAATACATTACAAGTAAAACCATAAAACCATCGGCCGGGCGCGGGGGCTCACGCCTGTAATCCCAGCACTTTCGGAGGCTGAGGCGGGCGGATCACGAGGTCAGGAGATCGAGACCATCCTGGCTAACACGGTGAAACCCTGTCTCGACTAAAAATACAAAAAATTAGCTGAGTGTAGTGGCAGATGCCTGTAGTCCCAGCTACTCGGGGGCTCAGGCAGGAGAATGGCATGAACCCGGGAGGCGGAGCTTGCAGTGAGACGAGATTGGGCCACTGTACTCCAGCCTGGGGGACAGAGCGAGACTCTGTCTCCAGAAATAAATAAATAAATAAATAAATAAATAAACAAATAAATAAATAAAACCGTCAACTGATTTCCCAACAGTGGTGGAGGAAGGCAGGAGAGGCAGGGAGGAGAAGACGATAAAATAGTGTCTTCAATTTGCTAAAAGAAAATAATTCTGAATACAGAATTCTATAACCACCAAAAATCCATTTGAAATTTAAGGTAAAATACACTTAATGCAAAAACTACAAAAATTTGTAATCAGCACAAATACACTAGTGGACATATAAAAAGGGAAAGGAAAATAATCCCAGAAAGCAGCTTTGAGATACAGGACAGAATACAGAATGATGGGAAGGGTAAAGTATGTCAGTATATCAGGTGAATGTTAACTACAAAATAATAGTAATAATGTCACATGGAGTTTAAAACATGTCATTATATGGAATCAACCTAAATGCCCATCAACTGTTGCCTGGATATAAAAAATGTGGTACATATACACACATGGAATACTATGCAGCCATAAAAAAGAATGAGGTCATGTCCTTTCCAGTAACATAGATGGAGCTGGAGGCCATTATCCTAAGTGAACTAACACAGGAACTGAAAACCAATTACTACATGTACTCACATATCAAATATATATGGACACAAAAAAGGGAAGAATAGACACCGAGGCCTGCTTCTGGGTACAGGGTAGGAAGAGGGAGAGGATTGAAAAACTACCTATCAGGTACTATGATTATTACCTGGATGATGAAATAATCTGTACACCAACCCCCTATGATATACAACTTACCTACATAACAAACCTGTAGATGTACCCCTGAACTTAAAATAAAAATTAAAAAATAAAATATATCATTAAAATCCTTGACATTAATAATATATGAGGCAGGCAGGGGCTGCTCTACCATCTCTGCTTTATCCAAAACTAAAAAAAGTAACAATACATAAAATACTTGTATAAATCAAAAAAGAATGTTAATATATCAAGTTTAATCCCTAAAAGAGTGGTAAAAGAAGAGAGGAAATGGAATAAAAACTGATTAACCAAAAAGAAGGCAAGAAAGGGAGAAAAAAGAGGATAGACTAGTATGACAAGTATGTATTAAAATGGTAGGTTTAAACTCAAATATATAAATAATACATTGAATGTGAATAAATCAAATGTATAATTAAAAGAAAACATTGTCAGACTGGATTAAAAATAAATAACTCAATTATGTAAAAGATACACCATAAGTAAATGATGTTGAGAGTGAAAGGATAGAAAAACTGCATATGCCAGGCAAACACTAACCAAAAGAAAGCTGGTGAATCCTCAGTAATATAAGGCAAAGCAGACTTTAAGGCAAGAAGCATTACTGAAAAAAAGAGGGACATTTAATGGGATAAAAAATTTAAAGGGAAAATATAGTAATATCTAAATTTGTTTGAATCTAAGAATGTTACCTAAAAATATATGAAGCAAAGACTCTGGCAGAAATAAAAGAAATACAGAAATCCATACCATGATTGGTGATTTTAACACATCCTTTTCAGTAATTGACAGAAAATGCAAATAAAACATCAGTAAGGCTACAGATTTGAACAAGAATAACAAACTACCTAATGGACAGATATAGAACAGCGTGCCCAACTAGTGTCAAATATACTTCTTTTCAAATACCACCGAACATTTACTAAATTGTGCAAAATCTGAGCCAAAAATCAAGTTTCAACAAGTTTCCAAAGATTTAAATAATACAGATTATGTCTTAATTAACCACATAAAATTAAGCTAATAACACCAAAAAGGCACAGTAGCTCATGCCTATAATCCCAACATTTTTGGAGGCCAAGGCAGGAGGATCACTTGAGCCCAGGAGTCTGAAAGCAGCCTGGGAAGCATGAAGAAACCTTGTCACTACAAAAAATTTAAAAAATTAGCCAGGCATAGTGACACGTGTCTGTGGTCCCAGCTACTTGGGAGGCTGAGGCAGGAGGATCGCTTGAGCCCGGGAGGTGGAGGCTGCAGTGAGCTGTGTTTGTGCCACTGCACTCCAGCCTGGGCAACAGAGTGAGCCCCTGTCTCAAAAATAAAAATAAAATAAAATAAAATAAAAAGATAACTTTAAAATCCTCGTATGTGTAGAAATTAATCAATACCCTTCTAGATAGCCCATGGGTCAAAGAAGATGATGAAACTAAGAGATATCTGAAGTGGCAATAATTTTTTTTAAAAAAACTACATATCCATATTTGCAGAAGAAGAACTGAAGCCACATTTAGAAGGACATTTATGGCCTTAAATGTATATATTAGAAAAATTAGGAAGGCTAAAAATTAGTGATCTCTGCACCCTAATCTTAAGAAGTTGGAAAGAGAAAAGGATGTCAAATTAATCCCAAAGTAGAAGCATGGAAATATTAAAGATAACATTAGAAATTAAATAAAAAATCATATAAGAAGATGAACAAAGCAAAAAGTTGGTTCTCTGAAAGCCCTAGTAATAAAATTAACAGGCCGGGCGTGGTGGCTCAAGCCTGTAATCCCAGCACTTTGGGAGGATGAGGTGGGTGGATCACCAGGTCAGGAGTTGAAGACCAACCTGGCCAAGATGATGAAACCCGGTCTCTACTAAAAATACAAAAAAATTAGCTGGCCGTGGTGGCAGGCACTTGTAATCCCAGCCACTTGGGAGGCTGAGGCAGAGAATTGCTTGAACCCAGGAGGCAGAGGTTGCAGTGACCCAAGATCGCACCACTGCACTCCAGCCGGGGCAACAGAGCAAGACTCCATCTCAACAAATAAATAAATAATAAATAAATAAATAAATAAATAAAATTAAATTAACAAATACCTATAAAGACCAAGAAAAAAGAAAAAACAGGGAAAAAAAAGAACATCAACTATGGCTCCTAGAAACATTCAAATATAATGAGGATATTATTAACAACTTTATGCCAATAAATTTGAAATGATAAATGAAATGGACTAATTCCTGGAAAAACATAACTTAGGAAAAGTATGGGCAAGACAGAAAATCTGAATAGTCTTATATCTAATAGATATTAAAGGTAGCCTAATTTTTAATAGCAATATGTTATAAACATTTCCTTATATCATTAAATGTAGTTCTTCAGTGATAAAGGACATTTATTATAGTAGTAAGATTGAGGTTTCATTTAAGTTTTGCTCATTCTTAACTATGTGACATCTGATAAATTACATAACCTCTTTATGCCACAATTTTTAAAATACTAACCTCATAAATGAGATAGCACATCATATACTTAGTATATTGCCTTGTATGTAGTAAATGTTTGATAAGGATAGCTATGAGTACGTTTAATGACTTCATGGTAGCCTATTTTCTCCTCTTATAAATGCTACAAGAAAATCCTTATTTATACACCTTTACACATATCCTTATTTCTTCAGGATAAAATCCCAGTAATAAAACTGATGCCTCAAAAGAGATTCATAATACATAGGGCCCAATTTTGCTTCAGAAAAGCTGAATCAGCTTATACTTCCACAAACAGAATGAAAATGCTCATTTTCCTACACCCATACCCAACTAGATATTATCTTTTTTTGACAATTTATTGGGACAATGTGGCAGATTCATATTTTATTTATTTTTTCACTCATTTATTATTTAGTAAGTATGGCATTTATTAGATCTACTGGTATCTGTAGCAGTCCTTTCATAAATTGCCTTTTTATATCTTTTACCAGAAGAGATGAAAGTAAATCTGGTGCAAATCACAAGGCCCAGTGGTCAAGGAGTCCCAAAGCAAATCCCATCTGAAGATTTTTTAGCCAGTCTTCCCTTTCTGGGGACCCAAAAATTGTTTGCACATGGGCCTTCTTCTCCCATCCATTTTTCTCCTAAGATACTTTTAACTTTGAATATTGATTTATAAGAGCTCTTTATAGGGCTTCAAGCAACCCTCCTGCCTGGCCTCCCAAAGTGCTGGGCTCTTCATAGGGCTGTTGGTTGTTTTAAAATCACTTATGCTGGTGTTCATTTACTTTCATTCTTATTTAATAATAAAAATACGAAGTCCAGATGAGATTGGGCATGCTTGCAAACTATACATCTGATGAAGGACTAATATCCAGAATCTACAACAAACTCAAATAAATCAGCAAGAAAAAGCAAACAATCCCATCAAAAAGTGGGCTAAGGACATGAATCAACAATTCTCAAAAGAAGATACATAAATGGCCAACAAACATATGAAAAAATGCTTAACATCACTAATGATCAGGGAAATGCAAATCAAGACCACAATGTGATAACACCTTACTCCTGCAAGAATGGCCATAATCAAAAAATCAAAATTAACAGATGTTGGTATGGATGTGGTGAAAAGGGAACACTTTTATATTGTCGGTGAGAATGTAAACTGGTACAGCCACTATGGGAAACAATGCAGAGATTCCTTAAATAACTAGAAGTAGATCTTCCATTTGATCCAGCAATCTCACTCCTAGGTATCTACCCAGAGGAAAGGAAGTCATTATACAAAAAAAGATACTTGCACATACATGTTTATAACAGCACAGTTTTGCAATTGCAAAAATATGGAACCAGCCCAAATGTCCATCAATCAATGAGTGAATTTTTTTTTAATGTGGGGTATGTGTATATACATATATATATATATATATACACACACACACACACACACACATGCATATATATACACATCTATATATACACACACACATATACATACACACATACACACACATAATGGAATACTACTCAGCCATAAAAAGCAATGAAATAATGGCATTTGCAGCAGTCTGGATGGAACTGGAGACCACTATTTTAAGTGAAGTAACTCAGGAATGGAAAACCAAACATGTTTTCACTCATAAGTGGAAGCTAAGCTATGAGGATGCAAGGGTGTAAGAATAATATAATGGGCTCTGGGGACTCAGGGTAAAGGGTTGGGGGGTGAGGAATAAAAGACTACACATTGGGTACAGTGTAGCTGCTCAGGTGATGGGTACACCAAAATCTCATAAATCACCACTAATAAAGAACTTATTCCTATAACCAAACACCACCTGTTCCCCAAAAACCTATTAAAATAAAAATAAAGTATGAAGGCCTTGGATTTATCTGTGGTTGCAGTTTTGATCACATGCTATAAGTTCTTTATTTATTTGTCTGTTTTTGTAGAGATGGGGGTCTTGCTATGTTATGCAGGCTGGTCTTGAACCCCTGGCCTCAAGCAACCCTCGTCCCTGGCTTCCCAAAGTGCTGGGGTTACAGGTATGAGCCACTGTGCCCAGCTGTTTAAGGGTTTTTGTAGGGCGTTTTCTCATTATCATTATTTTCTAAATTTTTGCATCTGCAATATTTTTTCATCATATCTGAATTTAGCACATAAATATGTGTATATAAGAAAAAAATCAGGACAACACAATCACTAACTCATCTATAGGGTTTTGATTATTATAGAATATTAAACAAAGCACATAAAGACCATACTAAAAGGATATTTTGGACTAGAGTAGGGTTTTTGTCTGTTTGTTTGTTTTTTCAATTCAAAAGTTAAAGAAAACATATGGGAACAGGGAGAGTATGTAAGTTCTAAAGGGCAAAAATTATACATATTTACTTTTAAAAGTTATATGCAGTTGAAATTATACTGTATGTATTATCAAATAATGTTCATTTTTATTTTATCAAATATTTCAACATACCAGATGTAATCTATAATGCTTAGGCTTAGAAAATGAGACAATTCCAATCCCAGGCCATGGACAGGCACCAGCTGCAGCTGGGTCTTTACTGATCTCAAGCGAAAAACACGGCATCACAACAAACTTCCCTGGGGTCTGTTTTATTGGGATTAGAAATTACTTCTCCTATTAACAATGTATGTAGCATTGTTTATATTGTAGCGTTGACATTTTAGAAATTGTTGACATTTCCAAAAGAGCCATCTGATATGAGATTTTGAAATTATTTGAACTGAGGATAACCCGTGGCTTCTTGTCAAATTAAGCTCTTGTTGAATGCCTAGAGAGCGAGAATGAAGTGGAAGCCCAGAACAGGCCTGTAGGAATGCAAAATTGAATGAATTGATGCTGAGGCACTGACAGAGCCAAGATCTTCACTAAAACTTTTACATTGCACCTTTTCAGAAGAAAGCTACATGTAAAATCTGTGCCATGTAAGAGAAAAATTGTAATTACAAAATTAATAGTTAATACCCTCTCACATGAGTAGGTATATAATGATGTCAGAGGGATCCAATTGTGCCTCATCCAATGAGATACAGTAAAAAGGGCTACAAGAGTTAGAAAAAGCAAAGTAACAAAACACAGGCAAAATATGCTAGTGCAAGAGGGATATTGATTTTAGCTTCCTTTTTGGCACGAGTGACCCTGTCCCCTTTAAAGCATAACTATAAGAACCTGAGGCGCTGGTTTTTTTTTAGATGCCACAGGCGTAGAGGATTCCTTGATCTCAGTATTTCCCAAACTGACTTAACAATGGCCTGAGAAACACTTTTTGGAATATATTTTGTAAAAGAGTATTGACCTGTATACAATATATTGCCAAGTAGCGGAACACTATGTATAAGATATTAACAATTAGGTCATTATGTATTTTATATAGACCTTATATATAAAATATAAATATACGTAAAATATATTTATATAGTATATATTTTATCATTATATATACATATACAGTCAATCCTCATTATTCATGGATTCCATATTGGTGAAATTGCCTATTTGCTACAGTTTACTTGTAACCCCAAAATAACACTCAAGGCACTTTCCCAATCATTCTTGGACATATGCAGAGCAGCAAAAAATCTGAGACCCCCATACTCATGTTCAGAGCTGAGGTCAAAGGTCAAACGAGGCAATATTCCGCCTTCTTGTTTCAGCTCTCATATTGTAAACCCATGTCCTGTCCTTTTCACACTTTATTTAGTGCCACATTTTTCTGCATTTTGTTGGTGATGTCACTGTTTAAAATGGCCCAAGCATAACACTGAGGTGCTATCTAGTGCTCTGAAGGAGAAGGCTATGATTTGCCTTACAAGAGAAAATGTGTGTTAGATAAGCTTCCATCAGGCCTGAGCTATGGTGCTATTGGCCATGAGTTCAATGTTAATAAATCAAAATACATTAAACAGCGTCTTTATACAGGACACACATAAAACAAGGTTTTATATTGACTAATTGACAAAAATGTTGTGACCAGAAGTTCACAGGAGCCTAACCTTGTATTTCTTCTAGTAGCAATGGCTCAGTATTCACTAATTCCATGTTTGTAGCAACTTTATAAACTATTACCACTGTGAATAATAAGAATGGATGATATACACAAATGAGTCAAAAAAACTTTAGGAACTTCAATTTCTTAAGCTGGAGAAATTAGCCTGAATAAAAGCCACCTCTGGAAGACATTCATTTTTTCAATCAATAAATACGTATTGAGTTCTTACTCTGTGCTGGGTATAACAGTCTAACCCAAGCTTGTCCTACCCACAGCCCATGGGCTGCATGTGGCCCAGGACGGCTTTGAATGTGGTCCAACACAAATTCATAAACTGCCTTAAAACATTATGAGATTTTTGCTGGATTGCTGGCAAGATGGACAAATAGAAACAACTCTGGTCTGCAGCTCCCTGTGAGATCAACACAGAAGGCAGGTGATTTCTGCATTTCCAACTGAGGTACTCAGTTCTTCTCATTGGGAACGGTTGGACAGTGGGTATAGCCCAAGGAAGGCAACCCAAACCAGGGTGGGGTATTGCCTCACACAGGAAGTGCTAGGGGTTGGGAAACTCCCTCTTCTAGCCAAGGGAAGCCATTAGGGGCTGTACCGTGCACTTTGGCCCAGATACTGTGCTTTTCCCATGGTCTTTGCAACCCACAGACCAGGAGATTCCCTCCGATGCCTAGACCACCAGGGGCCTGGGTTTCAAACACAAAACTGGGCAGCCGTTTGGGCAGACACCGAGCTAGCTGCAGGAGTTTTTTTTCATACCCCAGTGGCACCTGGAACACCAGTGAGACAGAGCCGTTCACTCCCCTGGAAAGGGGGCTGAAGCCAGGGAGCCAAGTGGTCTGACTCAGTGGGTCCCACTCCCACAGAGCCCGGCAAGCCAAGATCCACTGGCTTGAAATTCTCACTGCCAGCACAGTGGTCTGAGCTCGACCTGGAATGCTTGAGCTTGGTGGGGGGAGGGACATCCGCCACTGCCCAGGCTTGAGTAGGGTTTTACCCTCACGGTGTAAAGAAAGCCACTAGGAAGTTCAAACTGGGCGGAGCCCACTGCAGCTCAGCAAGGCAGCTGCAGCCAGACTGCCTCTCTAGACTCCCTCCTCTCTGGGAAAGGCATCTCTGAAAAAAAAGGCACCAGCTCAGTCAGGGACTTATAGATAAAACCCCCATCTCCCTGGGACAGAGCACCTGGGGGAAGGGGCAGCTTTGGGCCCAGCTTCAGCAGACTTAAACGTCCCAGCCTGATGGCTCTGAAGAGAGCAGCAGATCTCCCAGCACAGCTTTCGAACTCTAATAAGGGATAATCTGCCCTCTCAAGTGGGTCCCTGACCCCTGTGTATCCTGACTGGAAGATACCTCCCAGTAGGGGCCGACAGACACCTCATACAGGAGAGCTCTGGCTGACATCTGCAGGTGCCCCTCTGGGATGAAGCTTCCAGAGGAAGGAACAGGCAGCAATCTTTGCTGTTCTGCAGCCTCTGCCGGTGATACCCAGGCAAATAGGGTCTGGAGCGGACCTCCAGTAAACTCCAGCAGACCTACAGCAGAGGGGCCTGTTAGAAGGAAAACTAACAAACAGAAAGGAGTAGTAGCAACATCAACAAAAAGGATGTCCACTCAGAGATCACTTCTGAAGGTCACCGACTTCAAAGACCAAAGGTAGATAAATCCACAAAGATGGGGAAAAACCAGTGCAAAAAGACTGAAAAATCCGAAAATTAGAACGCCTCTTCTCCTCCAAAGGAACACAACTCCTCGCCAGCAAGAGAACAAAACTGGACAGAGAATGAATTTGAAAATTGACAGTAGGCTTCAGAAGGTAGGTAATAACAAACTCCTCCAAGCTAAAGGAGCACGTTCTAACCCAATGCAAGGAAGCTAAAAACCTTGAAAAAAGGTTAGACAAATTGCTAACTGCCGTTTTAAAGAAGAACATAAATGACCTGATGGAGCTGAAAAACACAGCACGAGAACTTCATGAAGCATACACAGGTATCAATAGCTGAATCGATCAAGCAGAAGAAAGGATATCAGAGACTGAAGATCAACTCAATGAAATAAAGTGAGAAGACAAGATTAGAGAAAAAAAGAGTGAAAATAAATTAACAAAGCCTCCAAGAAATGTGGGACTATGTGAAAAACCCAAATCTACATTTGATTGGTGTACCTACAAGTGACACAGGGAACAGAACCAAGCTGGAAAACACTCTTCAGGATATTATCCAGGAGAACTTCACCAACCTAGCAAGACAGACCAACATTCAAATTCAGGAAATACAGATAACACCACAAAGATACTTCTCAAGAAGAGCAACCCCAAGACACATAATAGTCATATTCACCAAGGTTGAAATGCAGGAAAAAATGTTAAAGGCAGCCAGAGAAAGGTCAGGCTACCCACAAAGGGAAGCCCATCAGACTAACAGCAGATCTCTTGGCAGAAACCCTACAAGCCAGAAAAGAGCGGGGGACAATAGTCAACATTCTTAAAAAAAGTAATTTTCAACCCAGAATTTTATATCCAGCCAAACTAAGCTTCATAAGCAAAGGAGAAATAAAATCCTTTACAGACAAGGAAATGCTGAGAGATTTTGTCACCACCAGCCACCAGACCTGCTTTACAAGAGCTCCTAAAGGAAGTACTAAACATGGAAAGGAACATCTGGTACCAGCCACTGCAAAAACATGCCAAAGTGTAAAGATCATTGAAAATATGAAGAAACTGTCTCAACTAATGAGCAAAATAACCAGCTAGCATCATAATGGCAGGATCAAATTCACACATAACAATATTAACCTTAAATGTAAACGGTCTAAATGCCCCAATTAAAATGCCCCCAGACTGGAAAATTGGATAAAGCATCAAGACCCATTGGTGTGCTGTATTCAGGAGACCCATCTCATGTGCAAAGACACACATAGGCTCAAAATAAAGGGATGGAGGAATATTTACCAAGCAAATGGAAAGCAAAAAAAAAGCAGGGGTTGCAATCCTAGTCTCTGATAAAATGGACTTTAAACCAACAAAGATCAAAAGAGACAAAGAAGGGCATTACATAATGGTAAAAGGATCAATGCAACAAGAAGAGCTAACTATCCTAAATATATATGCACCCAATACAAGAGCACCCAGATTCATAAAGCGAGTTCTTAGAGACACACAAAGAGACTTAGACAACCACACAATAATAGTGTGAGACTTTAACACCCCACTGTCAATATTAGATCAATGAGAAAGAAAATTAACAAGAATATCCAGGACTTGAATTCAGCTCTGGACCAAGCAGACCTAATAGACATCTACAGAACTCTCCACCCCAACATTCCATGCTCATGGAAAGGAAGAATTTATACTGTGAAAATGGCCATATTGCCCAAAGTAATTTATATATTCAATGCTATCCCCATCAAGCTACCATTGACTTTCTTCACAGAATTGGGAAGAAACTGCTTTAAATCCCACATGGAACCAAAAAAGAGCCCACATAGCCAAGACAATCCTAAGCAAAAAGAACAAAGCTGGAGGCATCACGCAACCTGACTTCAAACTATACTACAAAGCTACAGTAACCAAAACAGCATGGTACTGCTACCAAAACAAATCTATAGACCAATGGAACAGAACAGAGGCCTCAGAAATAATGCCACACATCTACAACCATCTGATCTTTGACAACGCTGACAAAAACAAGCAATAGGGAAAAGATTCCCTATTTAATAGAAAACTGGCTAGCCATATGCAGAAAGCTGAAACTGGATCCCTTCCTTACACCTTATAAAAAAAGTAACTCAAGATGGATTAAAGACTTAAATGTAAGATCTAAAACCATAAAAACCCTAGAAGAAAACCTAGGCAATACTATTCAGGACATAGGCATGGGCAAAGACTTCATGACTAAAACACCAAAAGCAATGGCGACAAAAGCCAAAATTGATAAATGGGATCTAATTAAACTAAAGAGCTTCTGCACAGCAAAAGAAACTATCATCAGAGTGAACAAGCAACCTACACAATGGGAGAAAATTTTTGCAATCCATCCATCTGACAAAGGACTAACATTCAGAATCTACAAAGAACTTAAAAAAATTTACAAGAAAAAAACAAACAACTCCATCAAAAAGTGGGTAAAGGATATGGACAGATACTTCTCAAAAGAAGACATTTATGCAGCCAACAAACATATGAAAAAAAGTTCATCATCACTGGTCATTAGAGAAATGCAAATCAAAACCACAATGAGATACCATCTCATGCCAGTTAGAAAGGTGATCATTAAAAAGTCAGGAAACAACAGATGCTGGAGAGGATGTGGAGAAATAGGAACACTTTTACACTGTTGGTGGGACTGTAAATTAGTTCAACCATTGTAGAAGACAGTGTGATGATTCCTCAAGGATCTAGAACTAGAAATACCATTTGACCCAGGGATCCCATTACTGGGTATATACTCAAAGGATTATAAATCATTCTACTATAAAGACACATGCACATGTATGTTTATTGCAGCACTGTTCCCAATAGCAAAGACTTGAAACCAACCCAAATGCCCATCAATGATAGACTGGATAAAGAAAATGTGGCACATATACACGATAGAATACTATGCAGCCATAAAAATCGATGAGTTCATGTCCTTTGCAGAGACATGGATGATGCTGGAAACCATCATTCTCAGCAAACAAACACAAGAACAGAAAAACAAACACCACATGTTCTCACTCATAAGTGGGAGTTGAACAGTGAGAACACATTGACACAGGGAGGAGAACATCACACACGGGGGCCTGTCACAGGGCTGGGGGTCTAGGGGAGGGATAGCATTAGGAGAAATACCTAATGTACATGATGGGTTGATGGGTGCAGCAAACCACCATGGCACGTGTATACCGATGTAGCAAACCTGCATGTTCTGCACATGTACCCCAGAACTTAAAGTGTAATAAAAAAAAGTTAAAAAAAAAACATTATGAGTTTTTTTGCAATTTTTTTTAGCTCATCAGCTATTGTTAGTGTTCACGTATTTTATTGTGGCCCAAGACAATTCTTCTTCCTCCAATGTGGCCTGGGGAAGCCAAAAGATTGGATACCTCTGCTTCACCATTTTAGCAAATATATACACTGTCCTGACTTTCTGAAAGATTGTGGTCTAGCCAGCAGGGCCACCATTTCCATATATTATATAATGCAACACCTGAGTGGAGAGCAGAGACTTAACCAAATAATCCCATTGGTGAATTAATTATTGCAAGCTTGATAAATGCTTGGAAAGAGAAGAACATGGTTCTCTAAGAAGTCACCCTGCTTAGATGGAAGGTGGGAGGTGGGCTGGATAATCCAATGAGAAGATTGAGTGAAAGGAGCATGACATTCCGTAGAAACTGAGAGAAGACCATCAGGCCCAAAGCAAAAGGAAAGAAAAATAATCCAAACTAAAGCTGGAGAGACAGCAGAGGGTAAAGCTTATAATCCAAGCTTTATAAGCCAAGCTAAGAAATTTTGGTTTTATTCCAAGCACAATGAGAAACCACTAATAAGTGTTGATTAGATTATTTACCTTATACAATCACTGTAGCTACGGCATTACTGGAAGGCAGAGGAGGTGGTCAGAATCAACGTGCGGAGAACAGCTAAACTATCACAACCTCCCTCCAGTGTCTCTTAAGTAAAAATATAGCCTAACAAATACATAAACATAAATGTACAGAGCAGAGCTGACCTTACACAGAGGGAAGAATGATGAGAAAAATCAGCATGGCCATAATCAAGAGTTTTATAGCCCTTGTTCTAAAAATTATAAACCGTGGGAATACCGTGATGACTTCTTTTTATAAATATATATCTGAATTTACTTTCAAATGCATACTTAACCTTCTTTACTGTGGTTTCCCTTGTTTTCAAAAGTTATATTTGAGTCTCCCTTCAAATGTCATTATTCCCCCATTTTCACAAAATCTGCTTTATGAAAGCAAACCACTTTTTGAATGTATAAGTATTCTTATGAATACAATGATTTCCCTCATCTGTGAATCCTAAAGCAATTTCTGGAAAGGATAGAGGTGGCAGGGAATTTTTAGTTATAACCATGAATTAAAGGTAATCTATATAACTCACGATTTAAGACATCTAGCTTTTGCTGTGGATGCTCCCCTTTTTTCCTGTATCAGACATATTAATAAATGGTAAAAGTTGTATTTCAGAGGAGGAAGTGAGAAAAGACAGGGAAAGGAGCATTGAACAGGAGAAGAAGGAAAAAGAGAAGAACACTCCTTTCCACGTGACCTTGTTTGGATCCTGATTTGGCCTTGTTTGGATCCTGAATTGTAAACAGACCTTCTTAAGACAAGCAGGGAAATTTGAATATGGACTGGTGGAATTGTACGATCTTGAGACATTTTGTTGGGTGTTATAATGCCATGGTAGTATGTAAAAATATATTTAAGGCCAAGTATGGTGGCTCACACCTGTAATCCCAGCACTTTGGGAGGTCAAGGAAAGAGGATCACTTGAAGCCAGGAGTTCAAGACCAGCTTGGGAAACACAGCAAAAAAAATAAAATAATTAGCTGGGTGTGGTTGTGTGCCTGTAGTTCTAGCTACTTGGGAGGCTGAGGCAGGAGGATCACTTGAGCCCAGGAGGTCAAGACTGCAGAGAACCATGATCATGCCACTGTACTCCAGCCTGCATGATAGAGTGAGACCCTGTCTCTATGAAAACAAGAGAAAAAAATTATTTAAAAGTTTTAAATAGAGATGCAGATTCAAGCATCATGTGTAAACTAACATGATATCTAGGATTTGCTTCCTAATACTCCAGAAAAGGGATAAGATAAATAAAAGGTGATTGGCAAAACGCTAGTAATTATTGAGGATGAGTAGTAGGACATAGTGATTCATTATACAGTCATATGTCACTTAACAACTGGGATGCATTCTAAGAAATTCATTGTTGGGTGATTTTGTGGTCATGTGAATATCATAAAGTGAACTTAACACAAATCTAGATGTATAGCCTACTGTACACCTACGCTATATGGTATAGTCTATTGCTCCTAGGCTACAAACCTGTACAGCATATTACTGTACAGAATACTGTGGCAATTATAACATGATGGTATTTGTATAGCTAAAAATATCTAAATAGAAAAGTATAGTAAGAATACAGAATTAGGCCAGGTGCAGTGGTTCATGCCTGTAATCCTAGCACTTTGGAAGGCCAAGGTGGTCAGATGACCTGAGCTCAGGTTCAAGACCAGCCTGGGCAACATGGTGAAACCCCATCTCTACTAAAATACAAAAAAAATTAACTGGGCATGGTGGCATGCGCCTGTAGTCCCAGCTACTCAGGAAGCTGAGGTAGGAGAATTGTTTGAACCCAGGAAGCAGATGTTGCAGTGAGTCAAGATTACGCCATCGCACTCCAGCCTGAGTGACAGAGCGAGACTCCGTCTCCATAAAAAAAAAAAAAAAAAGGAATACAGAATTATACTGTTATACGACCACCGTTAAATATACAGTTCATCATTGACCAAAACATCATTATGCAATTATGCAATACATGGCTGTACTTGTTCTTTAGTTTTATATGTGCTTAAAAACTGAGGCAAAAGGAGGCAGAAGCCAAATTGCAGTGGGCTGAAGAGTGACAGGAAAAATACTTTTATGTTTTGCTATCTCCACTTCTTCAATGCATCTTTATGAAATGCTAAGCTTTGTTGTGACTGGGATTTGGGAAATTAAGACAGTGAATTGTGTTCATGGTTGGGAGGGTGATCTGGTTTTGCTGTGTCCCCACCCAAATCTCATCTTGAATATAGCTCTCATAATTCCCAGGTGTTGTAGGAGGAACTTGGTGGGAGATAATTGAATCATGAGGGTGGTTTCCCCCATACCGTTCTTGCAGGAGTGAATAAGTCTCACAAGATCTGATGTTTTTATAAGGAGTTTCCCCTTACATTTGGCTCTTTCTCTCTCTTGCCTGCCGCCATGTAAGACATGCCTTTCACCTTCTGTCATGATTGTGAGGCCTCCCCAGCCATGTGGAACTGTGAGTCCACTAAACCTCTTTTTCTTTATAAATTACCTAATCTCAGGTATGTCTTTATCAGCAGTGTGAAAACAGACTAATACAGAGAAGATATTGGTGCAGCCTCATTTTTAGGGAGACAGTGGTCTAGGAACCCCAGGAGGTGGCCAATAGCACAGGACACAGCAGTTGCTGGTAGAACATTGAGCACCAGCCAGGAGTCCTGCCATGCTGAAGGTGGAGACAAAGGTGATAAGATGGATTTGTGGAAGTTGTTACAATTCCTTTAAAGTCCCAGATATGACTGGGGAGGTGAACGTGGTCAATGATGCACTTACAGTGTTCAGCAAACTGAGTGCACAGACTCAAAAAGCAGGCTTGAAAGGGGAAGGCATGCCCTGGGGCTGGACAAACCAGGAGCCAAGAAATTAGATATACACAAACAGATAAAAGCTAACACGTACAAAGCACTCATCTTGAGTCATGCGCTGTTCTAAACTCTTCACATATATTCATTTATTCCTCTGTGAGTAGATACTATTCTATTTGACAAGTACAGAAACTGAGGAACAAAGAGATTCTGTAGCTTGCCTACTTTGGCAAATTCTAACCCAAGTATTCTGACTTCAAATTCCTGCTTTTGACCTGTATTCCATACTATTCTTTACCCCAAACACACACACACCCTTAGGAATAACAACCAGATAGACACTCAGTAATATGTTTGTGGGTGAATATTTTTTTCTTTATGTTTGTCCATTTTTTAGGTTTTATGAGTTAAACATATTATTTACATCTTTATTTTTAAATCCATAAATATATGTTTTAAATGAGGCCTTTCCTTGTTATAAATTCTCAAAATATTAATGTGAGATTTTGCCTCAATTAAATGAAAGTAAAAGTCCTTTCTGGAAGCATTTTTGATTTATGCTCTTGAAAGGATGTTCCCTAAGAATAGGAAAGTACTATGAGACAGAAAATGTGACTATGAACATGGAAGAGCCCCAGGAATATGCTCCTGTGTGGTCAGAGACCTCTTGACACTACAACAGAGAGATGGGATTAACACAGTGGGGTGAATTGCAAAAATGGCCAAAAATGTTTCCACCCTAGTATATATGCTCCCTTGCAATGGGACTTTGCAGGAAGGGAAGGACCTCAGAAAGGGAAATAAAAGCCATCCAAAATACTTGCTACATCTCTGTTTTACTTTGAACCAGCACTGATCCAGGTAGATAACCACATGTTAGAAGGGCAGATTTGCTGTGGGAAATAAAAGATTAAGAAACGTCACGCAGAGAGCTGCAAAGCTCCTAGTGGGACCACTAAGGATCAATGTCCGCTCATTTCCTCTCTTTCCAATAAGACTTTCTTAGGTTTCAAATGTCAGGGAAGTCAATTTCATCTTCATACTATTTTCCCATTGTTCATATTGCCATGGAGAACTGAGCATGACCACTGGATAAAGATAACATTTTTATTTCTTTAGTGTCATTCCCTGTGAGGATGTTTCTGAACTATGCAAATTTTAAATGTTACATGTTTAACAATATGTAGGGAAGCATATAGGGGTTTTTTAAGTTATAAATAAACTATGGAAAGTGTATGCAGTACTGTTGAAACAGAATAGCCCTTATGAATTACTTTATTCAGAGCCCCTCTATCCTCCATCACTCCTATGGTCACACCATAGTCATCTCCTGAAGCAACAGTCACTGAGTTAGACCATAGCTTCCTAATCTTCTGACCTCATCAGAACTTCCAGTCCATTGGCCCATCCACTTTTTCCCAGCCATCAGCCCATCCTGGCTTCCTGCTCACCCTGTGCAATTCACATGCCAAGAGCTATCATTTCCATATTTCTTTCAATTTCTCACATTTCCCTGGCTAAACTCTAGTGCTGGATATGTCCAATCACCCACCTGCCCCATGCACATACCTGAGCTTCTGACCATATTTGAGAAAAATCCCCAAAGGCTTCTCTAGTCAGCTTGCTCTGCACTATCACTACTGTGATGGCTAATTTTACGCGTCAACTATACCTCAAAAGCTGGTAAAGCATTATTTCTGGGTGTGTCTGTGAAGGTGTTTCCAGAGGAGACTGGCATATGCATCTGTGAACTGAGTGGGGTTAGATCCACCCTCAATGTGAGTAGGCACCATCCAATCGACTGAGGGCCCAGATACAACAAAAAGACAGAGGAAAGGCAGATTCACTTTTTCTCCGGGACATTCTTTTTCTCCTGCCTTTGGACATCAGAACTCCAGGTCCTCTGGCCTTGGGCCTCCAGGACCTGCACCAGCATTCCTCCTACCACCAACACCACCGCCACCATATTCTCAGGCCTTCAGCTTCATACCAAGTCATACTACCATTGGCTTCCTTGGTTCTGAGGCTTTCAGACTTGGACTGAGCCATGCTACCTTTCCATTCCTGGGTTCCAGCTTGCAGGCAGCCTACTGTGGGACTTTCCAGCCTCCATAATCATGTGAGCCAATTCCCCTAATAAATCTCCTATCAGATATCTATATATCTATACAGCCAGCCTCAGTATGCACCAGTTATGAATCTGTGGATTCAACCAAATGCAGACCAAAAATATAGTATTCAGATTGAAAATATAGTATTTGCAGGATGCAGAACCCATGGATAGAGAGGGTTGACTTTTTGTATCTATAGGTTCAGCAAGGCCAAGTGCAGGACTTGAGCATCCATGGATTTCAGTAGCCATGGAGTGGGGGAGTCCTGAAACTAATTCCCTGCAGATATCAAAGGATAACTGTATATTTATATTGATATAGATATGAATATATAAATATATATCCTATGGGTTCTGACTCTCTGAAGAACCCTGACGATACAACTACTTAAACCTTAAACGTTTTTCTACTTTCTTCAAATATCTAATCTCCCCTTTAACCTCCTCACTCCCAGCAGATAATCTCACCTCTTACTTACCACAGAGAAAAAACACTATCAAATGAAAACTCCATCAACTTTCCTTTCCTCCTTCCCTCCTGTTATGATTAGGAGTACTCTTCTGTCTAAAAACTATCCCTCTCACCTACGTTCTGGATCCCATTCCCCCATCATCTCAGGGTCTTCTAGCTAGTAAATAACAGCTCACCCTCACTCCAACCTCACTTCCCAACTCTCTCTGTTCTACTGACTCCTTCAGGTCAGCATTTGAGCAGATCCAAGGCTTTCTTTAAAGTGATAGTTAATTGCATGTGTCAACTTGACTGAGCTAAGGGATGCCCAGATAGCTGGTTAAATATTACTTCTGGATGTTTCTGTGAGGGTGTTTTCAAAGAGACTGGCATTTGAACTGGTAAAGAAGATCACTCTCCCTAATTTTGGTGGCATTAGAGAGCATGAAGAGAATAAAAAGGCAGGTGAATTTGCTCCCTCACTGCTTGAGCTGAGACATCCATTTTCTCCAGTCCTCAGACATCGGCGCTCCTGATTCTAATGTCTTCAGACATCAGCACCTGATTCTCAGGCCTTAGAACTCAGACCAAGACTTGTACCATCAGCCCCCTGGTTATCAGACCTTCAAACTCATACTGGGCTTTATATCATTGGCTCACCTGGTTCTCAGGGCTTTGGGCTTGGACTGGAACTTACACCGGCAGCTTTCTTGGGCCTCCAGCTTGCCAGTGACAGATACTGGGATTTCTCAGCCTTCATAATCACAAGAGCCAAAACCTCATAATAAATCTTTTTCTCTGTATCTATATATCTAGGAGAACCCTAATATATCTTTCATCATATATATATATATATGTAACATCCAATCAAGTAGAACATACATGTAACATCCAATCAAACAAGCATCCAAATCAAGTAACCCACCCCCATCCTCTGATCCTTAATAAAAACCAATGGAATATATATATAATCTCCATTCATGCCCCATCTACCCTCTCCTCTTTTCCATCCTTCACAGTTAAACATCTCCAGAGAGTTACATACCTTAACAATCTATTCATCACCATCCACTCTTTCCAATCTGGATTCTACTCTTACCAGTTCCCTATAACAGCTGTAACTAAGATCAACAATGATCACCATGTCAAAATCCAGTTAGAATGGAAAACTAGAAAAATATCCTCAAGGAGATTAAATTGATCACCTTGTCATGATTGTCCATCTTCCCTTAGAAAAAACTGTAAATATAGAAATTATAGAAACTGTCACCTTATCACAAAAACTCTATCCAAAAATAGTTTGTAGTCACATTTATGGAGTAACAACAAAAATTTAGCAAAGCTAAGTACTAAAAGTAGATCTTAAGAAAATTTTGTAATACATACAGCTTGCTAAGGAAAACCACAGAGTTGTACTTGTTTTAATCTTTTTCTTTAATAACTTTCACATGGTAAAAATGCCTGCTTGTTCAATAACTAAAACAAAAGGTATACAAAGAAAACAATCATCCAAATCAAGTAGCCTGCCCCCATCCTCTGATCCTTAATAAAAACCAGTGGAATATTCTTCCACATCTTCCTCCCAGTCACAAAAACATACACAAGCATGTAAATACATACATAGGGGTTTGGCTTGTTTGCTGGTTAGCTATTTGGTCAGTGTGCTTGGGTGGTTGGTTGCTTGGTTTTCTTCAATATACTTTATTTTCTAGAATAGTTTTAGGTACACAGAGAAATTGAGTAGAAAGTACACAGAGTGCTCATATGCTCTCTTCCTCCCACCCCAACATCACTTCCCCCACTATCAGCATCCAGCACCAGAGCGGTCCATTTGTTATCATCAATGAACCTACATGGACACATCATTATCACCCAATGTCCATAGTTTATATTAGGGCTCACTCTTGGTATTATACATTCTATGGGTTTTGACATACATAATATCATATCCACAGTTATAGTATGGTACAGAATCATTTCTTGACCCTAAAAATCCTCTGTGCTCTGCTTCTTCATCCCCCCTGCCTCCTAAATGCTGGCAATCACTGATCTTTTTACTGTCTTTATAGTTTTCCTTTCCAAAATGTCCTACAGTTGGAATTATACAGTATGTAGCCTTTTCAGATTGGCTTCTTTAATAAGCCTTCAAGATTCTTCCATGTCTTTTCATAGTTTGGTAACTTACTTCCTTGTACGATTAGGAGGACTCTACTGTCTAAAAACAATGGAATAAACAATGGAATAATATTCCATTGTCTGGATGTATCACAGTTTGTCAGTTCACCTAGGAAGGACATCTTGATTACTTCCAAGTTTTGACAAATATGGATAAGGATGAGAGCTATATACAACCATCTGCTGGTTTTGTGTGAACCTAGGTTTTCAACTCATTTGGAAATACCAAGGAATGCAACTGCTGTCATGTATGATAACAGTATCCCAGCTGTCTTCCAAAGTGGCTGTACCATTTTGCATTTCCACCAGCTATGAATGAGAGTTCCTGTTGCCCCATGTAAGTTTGTTTTTATAGAAATAAAATAATTCTACACACATTACTCTACATCTTCCTTTTTTTTTAAACACAAATCATGGATATCCCATAAACCACTGATAAAGACTACATTCTTTTGTCTTAATAATTTTTTGCATATATATTTTACATATATGTATGCTTTTATACATCTGTATAATTTTATATATATGTATGATTTTATATATATATGATAGCATACGTATTTTCAAATTCTAGCTCCTTCATTTTACTGTGAGCAAATTAAAATCTCAATGTCTTCATTTTCTCATCTCTACAATAAAGATAATTTGGTGAAGGTTTATTAAGATATATAATATGTTTATAATTATACCAGATATACTAAACACTAATGTTATTATTGTAGGAAAAAGGTTATTAAAGACATTGAAATGAGCCAGAGAAATTACTAAGTGTCTGTCTAGCACACCCTTCCAGGTTATATTAACCTTTCATCATCTTTGAGCTATTTTACAACTCTGTAAGTTGTAGAAAATAGAAAACAATGTAAATTATTTCTGTCCATAAAAATGTAAATTAATTTTCTCTAGAACATCATTGATTTTTCCCTCATAGATAGATCTGTTTTACATCTATTTGTAAATTCATTCCAGTATTCTTTATTTTCCTATATAATGTGTGGTTCTTTTAATTTCCCTTTGAACCAACTGTAACATTTTAACTGCCTCCTTCATTAATTAATAAGTTAAATAAACTCTTTATACATGTTCATTTTATATCTGTATGAAAGTCATGATTTTATATATTTTTAATTGCCCTTCAACACTATTATTATAGTGGTTTCTTTTTCAAGGAATGGTTGTGAATCAAAATGTTACACCCACTTTTTTATATGTACAAAAGCAAAGATACTCTCATAAAGGCAAGTGTGCAGAAAATGTGTGAAATATATAACACAAATACCTTCATTGTTTAAAGTGCTTGAAGAAATCAGCATGCTGAAGCATAAATCAACATTAAGAACCCTGCAACAACCAAGAACTGGAGTTAAACACTAAAATCCCATAAATATGTATCATGTAAATAATTATAGCCATACATTACAAACAAAGGAAAAAAGGTTCTGAAATAACATATAATATTTTTAAAATACATTTAACTACAATATATGTCTCTAAAACCCTTCCATGCCCAATCCTTTGGTAGATAGGAAATCTGATTGCATAATTACTTTGGACTATAAAAAAGAGATTCCCCTATATGCCTGAAAAACTTTCTACAAAAAAGGCACCATTAAGGGGAGGATAGACAGCCTGCCTGCTTTGTTCTCACAAATATTCATGAGCACAGAATTCTCCTTCTGGCAGCTTCTTTCTGCAGACCTTGCCGGGGAACAGACCCTCTTGTTGAGCCATAGCAATCATCTGCCTAAACTAAGGGGACCTAACAGGGTCCAGCTAATCTCTTATCTGTGTATGCTCAAAGATAATTGGCTTGATTCTGATTTGCCTGTTTTTATAAGAACACTAAGAAATGGTAAGGAATATCCATTACCTCCTCAAAATGTTTGGCAGGAAGAGGTTCTGAATAAAGTGGATTTAAAGTGGATTATGTAAAATTTGCAAAATGAATTAACCTTATTCCGACTCAGCAATGTCTGAGTACTTACAAATTCATAAATAAGCACACCATCCATGCCAAGAATACTTTTTGAATGAAAGGTAAATAGCTATAGAAGTACAGGGCCTTTGATCAGTATCTTGACAAATGAAGTACTGTAGTCCCCCCCTTATCTGCAAGGGATGCATTCCAAGATCCCCTGTGGATGCCAGAAATCATGAATAGTACTGAACCCTATATATCCTATCTTTTTTCCTATACATACAATAGAGTTTAATTCACAAATTATGCACTGTAAGAGATTAAAAACAATAATATAGTAGAACAATTATAACAATATACTGTAATAGGCCAGGCACGGTGGCTCATGCCTGTAATCCAGCATTTTGGGAGGCCAAGATTACTTGAGGATGGATTACTTGAGGCAAGGAGTTCGAGACCAGCATGGCCAACATGGCAAAACCCCATCTGTACTAAAAATACAAAAATTAGCCAGGCGTGATGGTGCACACCTGTAATTCTAGCAACTCAGAGGCTGAGGCACAAGAAATCGCTTGAACCCAGGAGGTGGAGGTTGCGGTAAGCCAAGATTGTGCCACTACACTCCAGCTTGGGTAACAAAGCAAGATTCTGTCTCAAAATAAATATATATGTGTGTGTGTGTGTGTGTGTGTGTGTGTGTGTGTGTGTGTGTACATACTGTAATAAAAGTTATGTGGATATGCCCTCTCTCTAAATATCTTACTGTACTATACTCACCCTTCTTGTGTTGATGTGAAATGATAAAATGCCTACATGATGAAATGAAGTAAGGAAGCAGGACAGCGTGAGATTTCATCATGCTACTAGCACAGTGCTCAACTTAAAACTTATGAATTGTTTGTTTCTGGAATTTTCCATTTAATATTTTTGTACTGTGGTTGACCACAGGTAACTGAAACTGCAGAAGGCAAAACTACAGATAAGGTGGGAATACTGTAATTAGTATAACAGTGACTTACTAGTCCCGCTGTGGGAAAGTATGCTAAGAAACTATAAGGAATTCACATCATATAGGCCCATTTTTTCCCACTTAAAAGAGAAAAAGATATAGCACACTTGAATATTTAATTCCTGAAATGAATTTATAAATATAATTCTGATTTATATTTCCATTTCTAAGAAACCTTAAGAATCTATATCATTCTACCCAGAACGTTTGCTTCCCAGAAGGAAATCAAGTCTTTCCCCAAAAGGGTCAAATCACTATTTTTCATGAAAAGTCAGTTAAATGCTAACCAGATATTAAGGCTTCTAAAAAGTTTATATCCATCTAGACCAGAAGTTCACAAACTTTGTCTTTATAGGGTCAGATATTATTTTTGGCTTTGCAGAACATATGGTCTCTGTCGTAATGTTAGAGGCATTTGAACCAGAGCAACTCCATCTTGAATAGGGGCTGGGTAAAATGAGGCTGGGACTCGCTGGGCTGCATTCCCAGGAACTTAGGTATTCCTAGCCTCCAGATGCTTATGGTTAAGGGAACAAATTGGTAACATCTACTAAACAGACCTAGACTCAGGAATGTCCTGATATCCCAATATCTTGAGAACAGAAGCATTCGTAATTTTGCTTTAAAGATAATAATATCAATTGCTGCAAAATATAGTAATTAAGAAAATTAATCCTTTATCACAAACTGTATTAGTCCATCTTCACATTGCTGATAAAGACATGCCTCAGACTGAGCAATTTATAAAAGAAAGAGGTTTAATGGACTTACAGTTCCACATGGCTGGGGAGGCCTCAAAATCGTGGCGGAAGGCAAGGAGGAAAAGTCACATCTTATGTGGATGGTAGCAAACAAAAACAGAGCTTGTGCAGAGAAACTCCCATTTTCAAAACCATCAGATTTTGTGAGACCCATTCACTATCACAAGAACAGCATGGGAAAGATCTGCCCCATGATTCAATTACCTCACCAGATCCCTCCCACAACATTTGGGAATTCAAGATGAGATTTGGGTGGGGACACAGAAAAACCATATCACAAACCCTTGTAGTAGAACGCCTCTCCCCATAATATAAACAAGAAGTGTACCTAGTTGGGTGCATCCCTCCTCTTGCTTTCGGGAATGCCCTGCTCTGCCTATGGAGTAGCCATTCTTTATTCCTTTACTTTTTTAATGAACTTGCTTTCACTTTTCTCTATGGACTCGACTGGAATTCTTTCCTGCATGAGATCCAAGAATCCTCTCTTGGGGCCTGGATTGGGACCCCTTTCTGGTAACAATAATTATTCATAGTTGTGCAAAAGACTTAAGATATGCCAACAAATGGGCATGGCTGTGCGCCGATTAAACTTCATTCACAAAAGCAGGTAGAGAGAGAAATTTAGCCCTAGGGCCATTGTTTGCTGACCTCTTTCTCTAGGCCTTTCTTTTAGAACTCACAGTTCAAAAACTGTGTGTGACACAAAGTGTCACAAAGTGACAAAACAAAGTGTGAGACAAAGAGCAGTGAATATTATATTCCCTATGTGTCCCTATTTTCAGAGCACAGGGTTCTTGTGCTTTCCCTAAAACTGTTTCCTAAATCATGCAGTAGCCTCTCAAGCAAGCAGAAGAGAAGCTGTCTTGCTTGACAGTATTCCATACAGTTCCTCTGGGTCAGTGAAGAAGTGAAGATGCAGAGGATGTTTTCAGAGAAGTCTTCTGTATTAAGTGACTCAATCACACTCACTTCAAAGAGATCTCCCGACTCAAAGGCATTTTAACCTGAAGTGCCACTTCTTTCTCAAAGGATATCAAGTACCAGAGTAGCTTAGCCTGCCATCTTGTGGCAAATTGGAATATGGACAGGAAAATCACTGGACCAAGACTGGAACAAGCTGGAATACCTGCTTTGTAACAGGCTCTTTGTAACATATGCTAGACACAGGGGCTCTACAGGGAGGCAAGAAAGCAATAGTCCCTTGCCCTCAGGGAGCTTACAACTGTAGAAGAAAAGATAGATATTAATCCGAAAAATTACACGAACATATATAAAATTACAGCTGTGAAAAATGGTCTGAAGGAGCTGTCCATCATGCTTGGAAAGTGGATAAAGTGGATTCAGCCTAGGCAGGAAAGGTGGAGAAGACATCCCTGAGAATAAGACGATTCAACTGAGGTCTGAGATGAGTAGGGATTTGCCAGGTGAACAAGTGAGAGAAGATGACTCCAGAGAGAGAAGCAGTAACTGTAAAAACCATGTGGTGGAGAAAAGCTAGGGGGGACTCTGGTATGAGATAAGGCCAGGAGGTAAAGAGGGGCCAGATGGTGCAGGGCCTCAGAAGGCATAAAAGGAGGTGTTTTTTATTTATCCCATAATCAGAGTGAACCTATAAAACAGTTTATGCAAGGCAGAGTGACAGAATCAGGTTTACATTTCAAAAAAGATCACACCCTGTATCAGTCAGGGTCCAATCAGGAAACAGAAACTATGCAGCAATTTGAACAGGGAAAATTTAACATCAAAGATTATTAGCTTTTTAACAGGAAATTGGAGTCACAAGGGATGGTCTGTGGGAAATAAAGAAAACTGGAGACAAGAGAGAGAAAGAATTCCAAGCATAGCCGATACAAGGAACTGCCACTAACCGAGGAGGAGCCTCCTACTGAGATCTGGAGCTTGTTGGAGACGCCATGGCCGTGGCTTACTGGACAACACAGAAGTCTCAGTGGTGGAACTTACTGAAAAATGCACCCTCTAGGGTACCAGGGAAAGCCATTCAAAAGGAGGTAACTCTCCAGAGACACTCCATAATGAAACTGCCCAAGAGCATGCCACAGGAAGCTTCTGGCCACTGGGTGCTGCTGGCCATGATGCACTACAGGAGCTGGGCTTAGGAGCCTGGCACCTGTGAAGCTGCCCACAGGAGGTGGGCCCTGGGAAATCTATGCACACTGCAGGAGGCTGCAGAGAGCCAGAGAGCCATACAGCCCAACTAGGAGAGAAAACTCCTTCCTCCTCCAGTGTCTCTCCAGTGCCCTCTGCTGACAAAGCTTAGCAACATGCCAGGTGGCAAAGGAAACATATTTAAAGGGCCCAGCCAAAGAAGGCAATGCAGAGTGGATTTGAAACTGAGGGGCCATAAATTGATAACCAGTAAACATTGGCCTCTTATATGGAGAGCTTTCTAGAAGAAGAGTAAAAGTGGATGCAAATAAACCACTTAGGGGGTGCTTAAGTAGCCCAGGAGAGGGAAGAAAAGGAGATAATAACCTATAGGTTCTGGAGCAAATACATGAGCAAGTTCCCAATGGATTATGGGAAGGACACCAAATAGCATGGCTTATGTCCCTGTGCTCACTGACCTTGCAGAAGAGCTGCCTCGAAAAGTATGGCTAAGAGACCAAGGAGAGTCAGCTGTCATACACGGGTCGTAAGACAAGAGATTGGCAGCACCAGCTGTGTGGAGTCCATTCTTTGTATACAAAAGGCAAAGGAGTAGTGTTGCTCCCAAGAGACAGACTTGCCAGGCTTAACAAGAACATCAGTTCCAACAAAAGCCACTCCCTAATCCATGCAAACAAACACTGTCAAAGCCAGGCCCACAAGGGCAGGCCTTTGGATCTAAAAAATTACTAGACAACAGCGAGCATGGCTTGTGATAAGGCCTTTTGGCTGACAGCCAGCAATCCTGGCCTTTTGGGGCTTCATACAGGCCTTCGAGCTACCTGCTATCTCAAGAAAATGGGTGGAGGGGAGTCCAGGTGAGGAGATGAAATGTCACAGCATGTCTCTGAGTCATCTCTCACGTCTCCCAAACATTAAATCGCCAAGTGGCAGAACCTGAGCTCCTACTGAGAAGCCAGGGTTAACGTAAATTTATCAACAACTATAATTTACTAAACACAAAAATAAGCGTTTAGAATGGCTTCCTCTAGGCAGTGGAACCGTGGCTGGAGACAGAAGTAGGGCAAATGACTACTGACGATTGCTTTTTAAATAAACCCTTTGGCATGGTTTAATTTTTTTTAAGACTTCACTGAAGGTGGAGAGTTTACAATTGGATAGAGAAAGTTGTTATATGATTTTGATATTGGACTGGAATTTTCATAACTCAAATAAGATTACTTTGGGTCTAAAAGTAACTAGAAAAATTTTTATTATCTGAGAGTGACGAAAGAAGTTGTAAGAATATGCCTGAGATGGTCAGTGGGAAAAGAACAGTTTCCCTCTCCTGATACTCCTCTGAATTCAGCTCTCTCAATATAATGGCACACATAGGAAGTGTGCTGAGAAAGAATCGCTTAGAATTGAGTTCTGCTGGTTGGTGGAACCAGGATTTCGACAAATCTGAATGTAGGGGTAGTCGTGGTTTCTAAGAGTTGAGTAAGCTCTTTTGTTCCATGAAAGTGTTGCCTGCTTGTAGGTTGGTTTGCATAATGCTGCAGTACCAAACTAAAATTCTTCTCATTTGGAAGTGTGAATCCATATCTCAGAATCAGTAGTGAAACAGACCATCCTGGTGGATTTGCAAAGCAGGACTTGGCTAAAACCTTGAATTCATTATCTGTCCATAAAGAAGATATGAGGTCAAAGAATAGAGATGGGAAGAGAGGTCAAGTGAGGATCCTTTGGAGAGATCTGCTGAACCCGCAACCAAAGGAGGTGGTGTGAGGGGCCTGCTTCTAACCTCAAGCTTACCAAAGAGGGCCTCTGAGGGACCACTCAGGGAGCTTGCAGTCCAAGGGATGCAGTGCACTGCTGTTTGATTCCCATCCAAGAAATCTGGAGGCACAATGGTGCCTTTCAGGTGTGGCAAATTCTGAAGGCTGATTTTTTTTTTCTTGTGGAGCCCTTTCAAAGTTTCCTCAAGCAATGCCTCCCCTCCAGCGGACTCCTGACGACAACCCCCTCAACTTACGCATCTGACAGTGAGGCCCCAATCCCCTTCTGCTGAGCTCTCACCTTCGAGAGGAAGTGTCTTAAGGAGAATTTTTTTCCAAGTAGCCAACTCCCTACCACTGACCCGCTTGGCCCAGGAAAAACTCAGTCATCATTGCCCTCTTGTCATCATATGGACAATTTGTTCGTAAGTCTAATTCAACCAACGAGACAGAAACTGCAAAGCTTAAACAGCTCAGTCGCCAGCCATAAATAAAACAGTGCCAGGAGAGAATAATTTTTCAACTATAAGGAGACCAAGACAAGGGAATAATTTACATTTCTGGTTTGCGTGAGTGGAGCTGCGAAAATAGCCCATCATATGTACATCACTATATTTTAACAAATTTCCTATTGGTAGACGGCTAGACTGCGACAGGAATTAACAGGAATTCCTACAAAACAAACCGGACTCAAGCCGGGCGCTGAACCTGGATGCTGACGGAGACGGGAAGAGAACACCCGCCCCGCAGACCTCGGCGCCTGCGCCGGCTCTGCACCGGCTCTCCGCGGCGCGCATGCGTTACGCCATTAGCGCTTTTCATGTGGCTCCTCCCCGGCCCCGGCGCGCTTACTGCGGGAAATGCAAAATTCCCTCCTCCTGCCCGCGGAGCCGGTTTCAAGAGAGCGAGCGGTGGGTTCTGGAACCACCCTGTCCTGCCGGAAGCGTACGCTCCCCCGCCTACCTGGGGACTGGGCGGGGCTCCAGGGAGAGAGGCCAGGCCTCCGCAGCCCCACCAGCTCCGGCCAGGTGCGTGGTATTCGAGAGTAGATTTGTTGTGAGGGTTAAAGTACTTAAAGTTCCTTGCCTTAAATAAAGAGCATAATAAATTGTGGCTGTTGTTACCTGCTTCCGTCACTTCTGGCGCCTGAGATTTGGTTCTTCCTCTCCAGGATTAATTTTGTTTGCTCAGTCTTCTTCCACCTGCTCAAGAATTTTAACCAGTTGCCACACCTGCGGCCTTCGCTTTACCCCTTCTTGGCTGGGCCTTCTCCTTCAGCTCATCTCCCCCATCATTTACAAATACCCTCCTGTTTTCTGTGCTCTGTCCCTACCTACCTCTCCTGTCCCCATCTCATGAGCGTTATCAAAGGTTATCACATTTGTCTCTTCTCCTCCCACCCCATCTCCCCAACTCACTGGAATCTGGCTGCTTCTACCCACTCCACTCAAACTGCTCTCAGCAAGGTCCTCAGCGACCTTGTCATGCACCCCAATGAACACTTTTCCATGCTGCTCTCTCTGCAGCTCCTGACACATCTATCTGAAACTGCTGCAAATCCCTCTGTCATCCACAATGCTCACACTCCCGGTTTTCCAAACTCTCTGATCACTATATTTGCCAGAAGTGTGTCTTCCTTCCCCTGCCCATTTCTGTTGGCTCCCACACACATGCTTCCTGGTTAGTTGTTTTTTTTTCACACTCCACACTTTTATGGGGTGAAGATCTCCTTAATGCCATTGTTTTTGCCTTGCTGATGACTCCCAAATCTGTACCTCTAGTCTAGATCTTTCCTCTGAGCTTCAAACTCCTGGCTATCCCACAGGCACCTCAGACTTAGCACCCCCAAAACATATCTTTTCCAGCAAACCTGCTTCAACTTCTGTACACTTTCTTCTTTGTCCCTCTTCTCACTGGATAACATCATGTGCTGTCTCAAGCCAGAAATCCAGGAGCCACCTTAGACTCCTCCCTCTCCATCATGCCCAGCTGTGGGCTGGCTTCCCTAGGAAACAGACTCAGAGATATTGTAGGTGGCTTATTGAGTGATGCTCTCATGAACAGCACCTGTGAGGGCTGAAGGATGAAGGACAGAGACAAGGAGTTGAACACTTAGTGAGGTTTAAACCGGGGCCTCAGCCAATGCTATGGCAAGCTCTGGACCCAGGAAGGTCCTTCAGAGCTGTTCCACGCTGAAGCCAGAAGCCACACACATATCCCTCAGTCAACCCGTCACTCAATGTGGGCTGCTCTCAGGAGGGGGCATGACCTTGGGTGAGGTGGCTTTCTCTGCTGAGGGCAATTCCTGGAGACAGACTTGGGCGAGAGCCATCAGCCGTCAAAACTCCCAGCATCTGGAGGGATGAGTGCCAAGTCTTAGAGGGAATGTGATTGTCACCATAGAACCCACTACATCCCTCATACTCGGTCACCAAGTGTTTTATCTATTTCTACATTTTAACTTTCAAATAAAATCCCTCCCTTTTCAGACTACTCTATCTGAGGCACCATGGCAGGGACAGAGCAATGGGCTGAGCAGACACGGTGCCAGTGCTCAAGAGGTTTACAATCTAGCTGAGTGAATAACCACCTAAATATATATTTTTAAACTACAATAAGTGTTCTTATTGTGTAACAGGGGAGGCTTTCCCTGTCAGGGAGTGACGTAGAGGCAGGGAAAGCTTTCCTGAAGAAGTATCATTTTCAATGGAATCTGAAAGATGAATAGAAGTTAACTAGGTGTATTCTTAGTTGGTTGGGAGGGGAGTGGGAAGAGTGTGGACAGGCAAATGGAATTGCCTATGCAAAGGTCCTAAGACAGGTGGGATAAGGCATTGGAGGACCTGAGAGGCCAGTCTCTGGAATGCAGAAACTGAGGAGGAAGAATAAGAGATGAGGATGAAGTTAGGCACGCAGGAGCCAGATCTTGCAGAGCTCATATTTGAGCCTTTTTTTCCTAAAAGTTATGAAAGCCACTGGATGATTGTGATCTCTGTGTAGTAAAAATGCTATGTCTTAGTTAAGCAGAATATGCAACTGCCCACAATCAAAGTCGATAAAATGGATCATATACATCTACAAAATGGTTTCAAGTTAAATTCTGTTAATGTTAAATGCTAGGGGCAAAAAAAAAAATGCAATGCAGATACCACTATTACAATAGCCTCCTTCTCTATCTCTAGAGGCTACTTGTAGTCCCTCTAAACAATAACACCTATTTTTGACTGCTTACTAAATGCTAAGTTTGCTAAGTGCTTTCCATAAAATATCTGGCTTAATATAACACCTTTAGGTGGGTACTATTTAGAAACTGGGTTCAGATAATATAATTTGCCCAAGTTCTCACAGTCAGTAAATGGCAGACACAAGCCAATTTTCCAGTTATAAAGCTAAAGCTCTTGATTGTACATTGAAATACCCCACCTAAGCTTTTGGAAACACTCAACTTCACAACTTTCAGTATCTCCATGCTGCCTTCAACTTCATTCCACCATGCCCTTCGCAGTAGACTCCCTTTGTAAATCAATGCCAACCTGATGCAAGCACAGGTTTGGAATACACACACCCTTAACACCATACAACAAACCACAGCTACCTTTTGAGGGCCACCACTAGAACCAGGACACTTTCTCCTGGCTCATCCCACCTGATACTTTTTCTCCTCCTTACCAACCCATGATTTTGATGCTCTAATCTCTGGCAGCTGAACCCAGTTCTAATTAATACATGCTAATATATGCTAGATAAATGTAAATTTACCTGAATAAGAGCCAAAGAAAAACAGAGGCAAATCCACTATAGTATTCTACTAATCATCCAGTTTGTCATTTTCTATGTTAAACCTCCCCCTCTATTCTTAATCAACAGTGGATAGGTTCCAAACTGCCTGTGCATAAACAATTATGAAAATATCCACTAGATGTCAGCCTTGAGCTGCAGTGAGGCTTGGGGAGCGGACATGGAATGGAAAACTCTTGGGAGTTTGGGTGATTTCCTTTGCAGTGTAAACTAAGGCAGGAACTGTAGTTAGCTTTTTGTATGAACACAATGGCTGGATTTTTTCAATGAGTATAAATACAATAAATTGGATCATGTCGTTCTTATTAACACGTTCCCATGGGTCCCCTTCTTATTCAGAGTAAAACCCAAAGTCCTTAGAACAGCCTGTGACACCCCACTGCTCCCACATTTCCCACCTCACCCATTTCAACCACACTGTCTCCTGAACACAACTGAAACTCTTCCTAGAAACACCTGAATGATTGACTATCAGATTCAAACATTCTGGTCACCTTACCAGAGGCCTTCCCAGACACCCTTTCTAAAATAGTGGCAGCCTGCACCACCCCCACTCATAATGCCCTGCCCCCTTACCTGACTTCTTCTTCACAGCACTTATCACCACCTAACATAACTATATTTGCTAGTTACTAGTCTTTCTCTGGAATCTCTGAAAGCAAGGGCTCTGTTCACTACTTTACTCCCAGAAGAGTGCCAGGCTTACATGAGGTGCTCAAAAAAATACTCATCAAATAAATGATCCTAATTCAAAGATATTCAGAGAAGAGGCCATAGTTCAAAGAGGCATTCATTTGTTTTCATTCAGTAGATACTTATTAAATACCTATTATCTTATTAATGAGAAACACAGTAAGTCCTTTGCACTTACAGAATCTCAGAGAGAATGCACACACAATTTTAAAAGGCTTTACAAAGAGAGAGATATTTGGGCCAGGTGTGGTGGTTCATGACTGTAATCTCAGCACTTTGGGAGGCCAAGGAGGGAGGATTGCTTGAGCTCAGGAATGTGAGACCAGCCTGGGCAACATAGTGGACCTCATCTCTATTAAAAATAAAGAAAAAAAAAATAGCCAGGCATGGTGGGCATGTGCCTGTGGTCCCAGCGGTCCCAGCTACTTGGGAGGCTGAGGTGGGAGGATCACTTGAGCTTAGGAGATGGAAGCTATAGTGAGCTATGATTGCACCATTGCAATCCAGCCTGGGCAACAGAGCAAGCCCCGCCTTAAAAAAAAAAAAAAAAAAAAAAAAAAAGCCGGGCACGGTAGCTCATGCCTGTAATCCCAGCACTTTGGAAGGCCAAGGAGGGCGGATTACGAGGTCAGGAGATCGAGACCATCCTGGCTAACACGGTGAAACCCTGTCTCTACTAAAAATACAAAAAATTAGCTGGGCATGGTGGCGGGCACCTGTAGTCCCAGCTACTCGGGAGGCTGAGGCAGGAGAATGGCATGACCCCGGGAGGCGGAGCTTGCAGTAAGCCAAGATTGCGCCACTGCACTCCAGCCTGGGCGACAGAGTGAGACTCTCAGAAAAATAAAAAATAAACAAATAAATAAATAAATAATAAAAATAAGGGGAGAGAGGTGAATACAACAATATGGCTGCCCACTATGAAAAACTGTGAAACAACAGAAACACGATGCATGCAGCATTTCTCTCTAGGCACTTCATTTACTACTCTGCCTCCAAATACAAGATTGTTCATTCAATTCTTAGAACTTCCAGATGGAAATGTTTCTGGAGTAGAAGCCTTTCTTTGTGATTAACCCGATTCCCTTCTCCTGCATTTAAACCCATTTTCTTTTGCATTTTATATTGCTTTGTCCTCAATGACAACAAAGGCCACAGGTTACCCTTCTCCAGATTCCTCCTCGTGCACAATTTACAGTGTCCTTGCCTTTGACCTTTAATTCACAGTTGAGAATTTTTTTTTTTTTTTGCCAAAACTCATAATTCAGTTTCATGATTTCCATATACATTTTCCCCATTCCTATACCTCAAGCCCCTGGAAAAATCTAATAATCGTCATCCTTTCTACACAAAATTTTGAGACAAAGTCAGGAAAAATAATCCACCATATGCACATGACTTGGTCTCATCAAGCCACAGGAGTAAATCACAGGCTTCCTTGGACCCGGCCCAGTGCAGGCTTCTCCAGCTCCTCTACCTTGAGAGGGGCTGGCATTCTGGAGAACAAAGAGGGTGGAAGGATGCTTTAGCAGATTATCGCTGGAAAAGATGATTTAAAAAAAAATAGGCAACTAGCAAATCTTAAGTGATTTTACCCTCCAATAAAGGTGTGTCTGAAATGCTGATGATTTCCTTTTATGTAAGATGTATGAGTTTCAAGCAGAGAATATGTTGGTGCATTTTCCTAATAAATCTACAACTTATGATTTATTGAGATATTTTCTCTCCTGTTAAAGAAAACATAGTCCTATTTCTTGGCAGCTGACAGCATATGAATGTTTCCCTCTGAAATCTTCTCTATTGCTTTCAACTAGAAAGGAACACATCCCATGCATAATTCTGTTAATTTATTTCTTCTCCTTATGGAAACTGTCCAAACAAATGTGGCCACTTGAAAGGTGCTAATACAATTAAAGTGATACACTCATTTCAATGATTTTATTTTACCCTAAAACAACATATTTACATAACCAGAGTTTGTTAAGAATTTAAAGCCTGTTCAGATAAAAAGCCTAGTTAGACCCTGGTAAGTTATGAATATTGGCCCATGACATTATTAGGAGACCTTGGCTGCCTTATAATACTAAGCAAACTTCAGCCAGGAGTAACACCTCAATGGATTCACAGTAACAAACTGAGCCAAACTCTTCAGACTGGGGTGCTCATTGTAGTTCTAAATTTCAGCTTAGAACAATATGTAATGTTCCTCTTAAAGTGATTCTGTCAGGGGCTAGAAACCAGAATGAGGATAGAGACTGTTTGCCCTTTCAAAGGTAATGACAGTCACAGACTGATCGGCAGAATATAATTTTTGAAATAAGAGCCCAAGAACAATTGTTCAGAAGAATATTTTAGAAGTTTGACAAATAAAAGATCTTTATCCACTCCTTTCAAACTGCATGAAAACTCACAATTGCACTTACCTATACTTCAACAAATGTGTTATCCAGCCTTCATCTCTGGGCTGGGATCTGTAATATCCAACTTGCCTACCTTCCACTTGGTCCTCACTTAGTCCCCGCTGAAGATACACATACCTCAATTCAGTGTGTCCACAACAGGCCTCAGAAGCACTACAGGCTGAGTATCCTGTAACTGAATGCTTGGGAACAAGTATTTGGGAGAAGTGTTTCAGGTATTTTTTTGGATTTTAAAATCTGGCATTATACAGGTTGAGCATTTCCTTAAAGTGTCTTGTCTGCACTCAAGAAGTTTTGGATTTAGGAGCATTTCAGTTTTCGGATTTTTGGATTAGGGATGCTCAACATGGAGAAGCTAGGTTCGGTGGGCTCTGTTTAACTCTGCATAGTAGGCCTGAGAAGTGTAAACGAGGCTGTGGCTTCAAACTGGACCCCATGTTCTGACCCAGAGGCCCTGGCCTCTCAACCTCCCCTCTCCTTGCTACCTGCTCACTTGAGTTGGAGGTGACCACAGAGAGAAGGCACTCCATCCCCACTGCTCTCCCTGGCTGAGGATGTAAGCCAGCCTGCAGGCTTCACTGCTAGCTGAGAAAATGGACTCTGCTCCTGCTCTGTAAACCTTGCTTACCTGCCACCACATCAGAGCATGCAGGTCCCAGGGAGGGCCTAAGCCACATTCGCCAGCTGAATTTACTAAATGCCCTACTTTGGGGGGATTTATTGAACACATGCTCAGGTTGTAATAAAGGTGTTCTCCATTTTCCTGACAATCCTTGTATGAACTCTCCATAAGCCAGAAACTTGGAGGGGAAGAATGGGTTGCATCAAACCCACCTTGAACCCCTGATACATTTTTGATGCCATGACTCATATCTAATATGACAGACATGGAGGGATTAAATTTGAAAACAAGTACCCGCAATGAGATCAAGGCTCTTGCTGCCACCATGGCAGCTGACTGGAGAAGCTACATGAACCTGGGCAATTCGCCCTGACCTATGCAGCTGGTCACAGCAACTGTTATTGTGATGTCAGATGGAATAAAGCACAGCTTTGTCTGGAATCCTCAGGTGCGCAACAAAAAATGAGATTAGAAAATGATAATGTATTCTAAGAATCAGAAGTAGCCTTTCTTTGGACCACACAAACAGAAACAAACAGAAATCTGGCCTTGAGCAAAGACACAGATGGGAAAGCAGCTTTCACAATGGCCTTAGATCTGCAAGGCAGTTCTGCTTCCCAAGGACTTTCGCATCTTGGTGGAGATGGCAAGGCACCTGCTACAGCCAGAAAAGGGTCCCTTCAAAGGAGGCTTCTTCACGCATAGGTAGAAGCCACAATGGCTGGAATGGGCAGACCTCTAGTGGGGGAGCTTCTGGAGTATGGGCATAGTTCCCCTTTGTTCCTCAGCCACACTGAGGGATGAGTAACGAAGGCTGTCAGAGGAGAGACAGAAGCATCAGGAGAGCGCTGTCTTAGAACAGTCTTATATTTCCTGTCCCAGTGACTGGCACCACTTGCGACTTACCC
This sequence comes from Homo sapiens, assembly GCF_000001405.40. Taxonomy (NCBI): domain Eukaryota; kingdom Metazoa; phylum Chordata; class Mammalia; order Primates; family Hominidae; genus Homo; species Homo sapiens. Next base: position 100,591,274 of record NC_000009.12, on the reverse strand, counting down.
AACTCAGAAACCTGGCAGTCATTTGTTCTCATCACAACCCGCAGTCAAGCTGACCCCTCCATAGCTCAGTTACTGCTTTACGTCAGGTACTCCTCTTACCTGGAAAAATTCAAGGCCCCTACCAACTGGTCCATCTGCCTCTGGTCTGTTAATAGGACATCCTTTAAAATCTCTCAATGGCTCTCTATGGCCTTTGACATAAATCTCAGAACACCCTCATACAATCTCTCTAGCTGCATCTTGCCTTGAATTCTATTCTTGACTCAAATGGCCTTCAAATGCCAAGTTAAGCAACACTTTCTCTAATTTTCCCCGACAGCATTTCCCCAGATTGTGAGATATTTTTCCTCTATGTTCCCCTATCATCCTTTCTGAAATCTGAACATGATGTGTCTATCTCCTCCACCAAGAGAAAAGTTCCTTAAGCATAGGGACCACATCTTTCATCTCTGGATTCATAATACAGACGGCTAGCATATGGGAAGCTCTCCAAGTGCTGGTGACCCAGAGATGAGTAAAATGCAGTCCCTGACCTTAAGAAGCACAGTCTAGTCTAGAAGACGGTTACACAAATAAACTGCAATACAGAGCAAGTGCTAGGGCAGATGCATAATCAAAATACTCTATAAACAGCTTCCATCTCTGCAGTTCCATCATCTGATACATAGCATTAGTCACACTGCTGAATTTTTGCTTGTCTCCCAGAACTGTGAGCCTGAGATATGAGATAGGAAAGGGTGGGGAAGAAGAAACTTCCATTCATCTTTGAATCCTCAGTGCCTCACACAGAATCTGTGTGTGTGTGTGTATATAATATACATACATATATATATATGGAGTAATTAGTCCTGCCCTTCCTAGGGATGAAGGGACCAGGGAAAGCTAAAATTAGGGAATTGACATTCTCAGTGAACTTGAAGGGCATCTCTCAGAATGAAAGGGAAAAGTGGTGCTCCAAGACATACAGCATGGGCAAAGGCATCAAGTGGCAGAGCATTTGGGGAGGGCATTTTGACAAAAGTGGTTGATTTTAGGAAGATGCCCAAAGTAAATTCGAACTGTGAGGATATTCTGCCACTCCAGTCTACCCTCTTAGGGATCCTTGGATGTCCTAAGAGATGCACAGTGAAGTGGTTATCCTAGATCTCCTAGCCACTGCTTATGAAATACAATGACGGATTCTGACCTGGGAAGGACAACTACAAATCCTGAGACAACATAATTCAGAGGTGGCCACAAGAACAACACACAAAATTTAGCATGAAGCTTTTTCATTTTTTATTCACTACAGACCAGGGACTACCATGCCCCAAATTCAAACAGAATTGAGGATGAGACCATAATGGTCATTCCGCCGATTTGGGAATCATGATCTATAATTTTCTTAGCAGGGTTCAATAAGCTATAGTAAACATGTCTCAGAAGAAAAATGAGCCCAATGATTTCATGTAATGGAACTGCACAGTTAACAATGGTTCTGTGGAATATTTTACATAACATGACTCATGCTTTTTGGCTGATAGAATCACAATGAACTGCAGGTCTTGGTCTAAACCAAACCCTTTAATGTGCATAGAAGGCAAAGAATGAAATCAAAATGTTTTGTATTTTTATCTCGATTTGTAGTTTTAATTTATGGAGGCTTCGGGGAATTCACACACACACACACACACACACACACACACACGCACACACCACAAGTACACTTTCAGCAAGCTGAATGTACTTTTCTTTTTTGAGAAGGAGTCTTGCTCTGTTGCCCAGGCTGGAGTGCAGTGGCGTGACCTCGGCTCGCTGCGACCTCCACCTCTCGGGTTCAAGTGATTCTCCTGCCTCAGCCTCCCAAGTAGCTGGGATTACAGATGCACACCACCACGCCCAGCTAATTTTTGTATTTTTAGTAGAGACAGGGTTTCACCATGTTGGCCAGGCTGGTTTTGAACTTAAGTGATCCGCCCGACTTGGCCTCCCATAGTGCTGGGATTACAGGCATGCACTACCACACCCGGCCTTGAATTTTCATGTACTTTGTTGTTTGCCCTGCTTCTCTAACCTGTAAGCTACAATCAGGCTATCACCCACTCAGAGGAAAGACCTGGATCATCGCGTGCCGGAGACAGACTTGCACCCCCCTACTCTATCCTGTCTACTCTGCAGAAGAGCCTGAGTGGCTCCATGCCCCCTGGTGTCTATAGATGCTACACTGTTCTATCTCAGAGCAAGGAATCTTGCCAATGGTTTTATTTGAATACACTGTTTAAAATCTGGTATGTATAATTTCTAAAATACACATGAATAGGTAAAATAATTTGTCCCTGTTATCTGAAACTTTAAAAATACAAACACTGACTAGAATATTCCTGATGTCAAACGGGACGTGTGACTTTGCAGCCCATTATTTTTATACCAAGAAAATTAAGTTAAAGGAATAATAAATTATGAATGTAGCATTTGGAATGTCCCAAATATGGGAAGAAATGTAGAGAAACAGAGCAACATGGAGGGAAAATCCTAGTACCAAGAAAGCAGTACAAGGTTACAATAAACCTCCAGGGACATGAAACTGTTTAGTGTTTTGGGGTTGCACAAAGTCTACCATGATGAAGAGCTGACCAGGTTATAACTCCTTCCTCATCAAAATTCAAATACAGCTATATGTGAAATGTTCCATAAAATGTCAAGTCTGGTTATATATGAATCAGTAAGCAAACTGACTTTACAAAAATTCCATGACAGTAATGTTTGCAGAAAAATATTTCAGGTCAACTGATATTTATTCTGCATAGGGCTAGAAAAAAGAAAAAGCTTGTAACTTCTTTACATTCACTGTTTGCATTATTAGTAAAAATATTTATAGGACACAAACATCAAATGTTGTAATAACATTTTCTTAAATTCAAATTTATTATGGTTCTTAAGAAAATATGTGATTAGGCACCCAAGATCTTTCCAAAATGTCATAAAAACATTTTAAAATTATTCATTTGAAAGTGTTATCCAATGTTGTATACACTTTAGTTTTCAATATAAAAAGGTAACAACATGAACGATATTATGATTTCATGTATTCATGCAAGGTGAAGAGGAAATGATGCTGAATCAGACTCCCAAACCCAAACATCTGAGTAACTGAGTCAAATATTTTAAAGCCGATTTATGTATGCCTGTGTGTATATGTGTACACTTATTATTTTAACTACCATATGATTATCCAAAAACTGATCTGAAAGTGAGAAAAAAAGTGGGATAGCTGATCGTTGTCCCAACTCTTCAAATTCAACAATTTCATCATTTCTTCTCTATTACAACACCATGCTACATTAAACATCCTTCAAGTACAGAATCAGTACTACCATTTCTTTCTTTTCTTTTTTTCTTTTTTTTTGAAACAGAGTCTGGCTCTTTTGCCCAGGCTTGAGTGCAGTGGCACAATCTCGGCTCACTGCAACCTCCGCCTCCTGGGTTCAGGCAATTCTCCTGTCTCAGCCTCCTGAGTAGCTGGGACAGGCGCATGCCACCATGCCCAGCTAATTTTTGTATTTTCAGTAGAGTCAGGGTTTCGCCATGTTGGTCAGGCTGGTCGTGAACTTCTGACCTCAGGTGATTCACCCACCTCGGCCTCGCAAAGTGCTGGGATTACTCCCCGTGAGCCACCACACCCGGCCCATTTCTTTCTTTCTTTAGCAACAATAGACATTGTTCTACTTCCTGGATTCCACGATCTAAAGCTAAAAGATAAGGAGAATCTGGCTTCCTCCCAAAGCAGCTATGATGAACTCCTATCAACACTGTTTTGGACAGCTGGACCCTGAAGGGTACACTCAGGAAAACAGGAATATTTGTGGTCATTTCCAAACCCAATGCATCAGGGCCGACTTTAGAAACATAGTCACAATTTTATGCCTCATACTGCTTAAACAAATTTAGTGCTATAGTCCACCAAAGATCTTAATCAAAAGGAAATTAGAAAGGGTCTGGCTGGGGAACATTTTGAGACCCAACTAAAACCCAAGATATAGTTAGTCTGATGAAAAAGTGGTCACCCAAACATTTACTTATTTTTCACTCTTGATTCTGTGAAAAGGCTTCTGAAGACCAGCTTTAGTTTCTCTCCAACCTAGGACCTTATTGATTGGTGCTGAGGGCTTTTTCAGAAGGTGTAACTCTTTCCATTCTGTTTTGGAGGAACTGATGAGGCTTGTTTTCTCTGGGTGTGCTTCTTGTTCCCCCAGAATGTGTACCATTTCCTTTGATCATCACAACAGTCCTCTGAGGCAGGCAGCAGAGGCCAACCCTCTCCATTTTTACTGATGAGAATAAGCAGATGACTTGCCCAGGGTTTTCTTATAAGTAAAGCTATGATACTAGAGCCAAATGCTCAAGTCCAAAACTTCAATTTTTTAATGTGAAAGCATCAAAAAAGGGGTGTGACTGCTAATTTACTAACAAATCTGTTGATCTGAACATCTGGACGATATAACCCACACATGAGTTATTCCCCTTTGAGGCTGGCCACAATATTAATCCTAACCAATATTTAGAGTTCTCCTGCAAATGACGGCCGCAAAGTTGCCCTTACCAAACACGTAACTGGCCCAACCTAGGAAACTATTTTTCTGGTGGACAAGAGAAAGGAACTAAAAAATCCACAGCTGCCATGAGAAAGAGTGATAATAATATTTATATTATCTTCAAGATTTTAAATATAAGAAAAAAAATACATTTATGTTTTCCTACATGGCACAGAAATGTAGACGACTACACTATTCAAACTAAAACTGCATGATTAGGAGATTCATATTTAGGATATACTTAATTCCTCTTTACGATGAGTGCTTTAAATCTAACAAAAGAGATTCATCATCCTCTACTTTCACCTGAGATTTAAAAGTAACTTTTAAAGGCTCGGGGGTGGGGATTTCCCTTCCTTCATGGGGAGGATACACCGGCCTGGCTGCCTCGTGTTCTGGTTCACTGAGCTCATCAGAGTAGAGCTCACTGATGGGGCCCAGAGACTCGCTCCTGGCAATGATGTCCACACCCATCTCCCTGGCACATTCCTCACCTTCAGCCACTGTTCGGTCCTTACCTTTCCTGAGGCTGCGCATCTTAAAAGCTTCCTTTGAGGGAGCTGCATTAGAAATAGATTTCTTAAACCTCTCCCCTGACTGTCTCAGCCTCTCCCCTGACTGTCTCAGCCTCTCTCCTGACTGCCTTAGCCTCTCTCTCCTCTCCGGGGTCACTATTCTAGTTCTAATTCTGTTCACTTTCTTGTCAAGATTCTGCCGTGTCTTCTGCATGTTTTCTTTGGAAAATGCCTTCTTGATATTATCAATGTGCTCCTTGCCTGACTTCCTAAGCCTGGCAGATCTGCTTTCTTCAACATAATATTCTTCATCCGAAGACAGATCTACTGGGGGATCAAAGATATCATCATCATCCTCTTCTTGGTTCTCAGTTAGGTTTCTGTCTTTAACAACAGACAGGGATGTCGGACACCGAAACTTCTCCTGAAGGAGAGAAAAAACAAAGCATATTAGTGCTTCCTTTGCACTATAGAGCAGCTCTTTTACCTTCTGGCCATGCCTTGTAAATCTCCATGGGCTGTTTATCCTCTGCCTGCTCCTTAAATGTTACCATTTCTTAGGGTTTCTCTTACCTTGGCCCTTTCCTCTTCTTCATCTCCCAGGCTTACCCTGGGCAACCTTAACCACTCCATTTTTCAGATCCAATTGTAAGTAAACTCACATGTATTTTATCTTCACTTTCCTTCTCTCCTAAGATGAAGACACATGTGTGAATGATGGGCAGACTGCTCCACAGTTTGAGGTTACACAGTCATCTTGAACTTAGCAAGTCTAAAAATCAAGGCCCATCCACCATCCTCTCCATTTCTACTTCTTTCCCTGTACCTCTCAGCACTAACACCTATCCAGGTGCCACATAAGATAGAAACACCTGAATCATAATCCCAAATATTTCCTCTCCTTCTCATTCCATATCCAACCAGCCACCAAGCTTTGTTGATAATACTGCCTAACAACTTATCTGTTCCCTCCTCCTTCTTCATTCCCTCTACCAATGTCTTGATTCCGGCCCTTGTCGTCTCAGTCCTGAACTTGCGCAATGCCTCCTCACTGATCCTTCTACCTCCAGAACATCAACTAAGTATTTTCTGAGAATATTACTAAAGCATAGCTTTGATCACATCTTTTCTCTGCTTTAAACTTTGGAGAGCTCACCAATACTCAACGAAGAGCTCAAATTCTTCAGTATGATTAGAAGGCTCCTCAGCTTTAGCTAAACCTACTTTCCCACTCTTCCAGCCCAGAAACATACAATCACTCTCAATTCCTCAAGCACAAGATGTTTTCATCCCTCTACGCCTATGTATATGTGATTTCTGGTATCTTCTTCTTTTCATAAAGACGGGGTCTCACTATATTACTCAGGCTGGACTCGAACTGCGAGACTCAAGGAATCCCCCTGCTTCAGTCTCCCAAGTAGCTGGGACTACAGGCACATGCTACCATACCCAGAAGTTTCTGACATCTTAGGTTCCCTTTCACCTCTTTTTGGCTTTGTAAATGAAATCTTTCTTCAATAATCAATTCAAGTGTCCCCAACTTCCTCAAGTGGCTAACTCTATCTCAAATTTACACATACATACCTCTGTTTATAACATTTAGCACAGTTTGAATTGAAGCTTTACTCAAAAATATGTATCTCCCAGAGGTCTTCTCCAGATTCCTTGAAAGCAGAGATCATGTGTCTTATTTATGTTTTATGCCCAGCATCTATCAGAGTGTCTTGCACATAGTAGGCATACTCAATAAATGATTATTGGATCAAACAGGTGTATACCTTCCTTCAACAAAGTTATTAAGCAACACCACAAACCAGTAAATTTTCTGGTTCTAGAAACTGTGAAGCTTCTTTGAAGACAAAAGAGTGAAAGAGCTTATATTCTCGGAGAGGGACAAACAAGTAAAATCTATATAGCATGTTAGATGGCAAGATATACACTAAGGTGAGAACTAAAGCAGGGAAGGGGAATATGCAGCGACAAGGAAGGTGCTGTTTGAACTACAGTGGTCAGAAAGGCCTCATTCATACGGTGACATCTAAGCCTAGACCTGAAGGCTGTGTATAGATCTGGGAAGAACAGAGAAACAGTGGGGAGGGCCGTGTGGTGACAGCAGAGTGATGAAAGGGCAAGAAGGGGAGGCAAGAGGGTAAGAGAGATAGCAGGTGGTCCAGGTCATGCAATGCTCTGTATCCAATGGTGAGGTCTGAGCATAAGAGGAAGTCTTCTAAAAGCCTTGCAGGAAGCCGGGTGCAGTGGCTCACACCTGTAATCCCAACACTCTGGAAGGCCGAGGCAGGGGGATCACCTGAGGTCAGGAGTTCGAGACCAGCCTGGCCAACATGGCAAAATAGTCTCTACTAAAAATACAAAAATTAGCCAGGTGTGGTGGGACATGCCTGTAATCCCATCTACTCGGGAGGCTGAGGCAAGAGAATCACTTGAACCCGGGAGGCGGAGGTTGCAGTGAGCTGAGATTGTGCCACTGCCCTCCAGCCTGGGTGACACAGCAAGACTCTGTCTAAAAAAAATGAATGAATGAATGAATGAATGAATGAATGAATGAATGAATAAATGGCTTGCAGGAGAGTAGTGCCAGGATTTGACCCACATTATAAAAGCATCACTCTGTTGAAAACAGGGTGTAGGGGCAAGAAAAGAAGCAGGGAGAACAGGTGGAGAACACTGAGGCAAGGGAGCACTGGGTAAGGGTGCTGACAGGTTGGGGGTGAGAAGCAGTCTGATTCGGAGCTGCTTTGAAGGTAGGAGCCAACAAGATTTGCCACTAGATTTGGATGTGGAGTGCCAGAGTGTCAAGAACAATCCTCAAGTACATGGCCTGAGCAGATGAAAGATAGATCTGCCATTAATTGAGATGGGGGAGACAGCAGGAGGAAGAGACTGGAGGGGAAGGATGGGATCTGAACACGCTGTCTTGGAGACACCCACTAGCCATGCAGGCAGAGGCACTGAGCAGGCAGCTGAGTAGATGAGTCTGGAATTCAGAAGAGAGGGCTGGGCTAGACACCCAAATTTAGGAGTCATTGATGTAAAGATGGAATTAAAGTCATGAGACCAGATGAAAGAGATCACCAAGAAACTGAGTGAATGGGTCTATGCTCTGTTTTACTCAGAATTCCTTGGCACCAAGGTGTGTTTCAGAATTCAGAATATTTCAGACTTTGGAAATAATATGATTTATTACATAACATTCCCAGCAAGATCTTGGAAGAAACATTTCTGTGGCAAAAAAAAATATGAATATTCACACTAAGTTGGGATAAAAGCTAGAAATAGCCTCCTGCTACTTTAGGTCAGGTTTTTCCACTGAATAATTTCAGGTCAAGTTAGGTCTTGCTGTCAAATATGTTATTAAAAAATATTTTAAAGAATTTTTGAATATGGGTGTTACAGAGCATGGATTTTGGACTGGTAGAAGGAAGAAATGAGAAAAGAAAAAAAAGGACAGATATCAGCCAGTGAGGCAGGGGGAACTCCCAAAGAGAGGAGTAACCCCAGAAGTCAAGAGGAAAGAAGTTTCAAGGAGAAAGGGAGGGGCTGGGTGCAGTGGCTCATGCCTATAATCCCAACATTTTGGGAGGCTGAGGTGGGAGGATCACTTGAGGCCAAGACCAGCCCAGGCAACAAAGTGAGACCTCCACGAAAATTTTAAAGTGTAGCCAGGCAAGGTGATGCGCACCTGTAGTCCCTACTACTTGGAAGGCTGAAGAAGGAAGATGGCTTGCCCCCAGCAGTTGGAGGCTGCAGTGAGCTATGATTGCACCGTAGAACTCTAGCCTGGGCAACAGACCAAGACCCTGTCTCTTTAAAAGAGAGAGAGAGAGAGAGAGAAAGAGGTCCAATCGTGTCAAATGTGTCAAAAGAATAAGGATGAGAATTGGATTTGGGACATGACACACACTGGAAACCTTGAGAGCCAGCCCAACCACAGCAGCTAGAGGAACCCAACTGAATAGGGAGCATTTCTCAAACTAAACAGACAAAAGTTGAAAAATCATGAGATTTTTAACTGAACCACGAGTTAAAATTTCTAAAAGAAACTGTGCCCCCACGTGAGATCCAGATTAAATCTATTCAATCAAAAAATATATAAATATATACAAAACACATTTATGCATATTCCAAAACCTATCAGCCTGATAGTCAAGAAGATATCCCTGGAACCTTATTTCTTTGGATACTTATTTAAAATTAAATTCTTTGGCTATAGGATTAGAGAGTCTAGGAGCTAAAAAAGGCAGGGGTGGGCGTCTCATAGCTCTCTGATGAATCAGTTTGAAGCAGCGAAATTATTCCTCTCCTTTCCTGACACCTGCTGCAGGGAGTAGCTTCAGCAACACAATGTGGGTTGGCACGGCCTGAGAGGGTATAATTAGAAAACGAAAGAGCCAAAAGTTAATTACTGTTAGATAGGGGAAAAAACACAATCTTGCTGTGAAGAAATCAGATATAGCTTAGCCCAGGAATCACATACCCTCCTTTAAGTACACAACAAATAATATAAAATCAGGCTTTAAAGTAAAACAAAACAGGAGTAGAGTCAGAAAAAAGTACTTGTTACGCAGATCTATTAGTTGCAACTCCAATGAGACAGCGACATCATGAGCTAATGGTGAATAGACTGTTATAATAACTGAAGATTGTAGATGTTGAATTATAGTTGACTTCCAAATATAATTGTATCTTTTAATATAAAACTCCAGGTAAAAAGACCATTTTTGTAACAGAATGAATACTGTGCTTCAGAGTACTGTGGGCTGGATTGAACATCAAACTAATATAGCTATGGGATGTGAGGGCGATTGGCTGCAACATCTGTTAACCCACTGATTGCCAGGGTTGATTCAGCTGATCTGGCTGGGCTAAGTGGGTGTCCCCTTCCTCCCTCACCGCTCCATGTGTGTCCCTCTCGAAGCCGCACGCTTGGTCGAAGAGGATGACCATCCACGATAGAGGAGGACCAGTCTTTGGTCAAGGGTATACAAGCAGCTGCACTCCCCTGCTAGAACTTCCAAACAAGCTCTCAAACTAATATAGCTAGGGAAATTCTGAATATACAAAAGTCTGAGGCTTATTAGTGAAGATATAGTATGTTCGAAAAGAAATAATAAATGTATAAGAAATAGCAGGTAATTTTTACTATGGCTGAATTGCTTGGTTTCAAGTTAATTTTAGCAGAAGGAGCAATCTCAATATAACCATTTATATACCTTAACTATGATGATTAATTATAACTAATTTTAACTGCTAAGAATAACCATGTGACCATGTATACAGCTTTCTAACATCTAATGAATCTTTGAATCAGAGTTCTATGTCCATTATTCTTTTCTCTACGAGCTGTTCCATTATAAATGATAGCAATTACTTTTTGACGAACTGCTGCTACTCTGAACAACTTAATTATGCAGAATCTTCATGGCATTATTTCTTACAAGAGAAGAGATGTGCCCTAAACTAGCACCCTTCAGTTGCTTTAAATAACTACAAGGGATCAAAGAAAGGAACAATTAGCAGTAAGTTACAGGGACTAAACAGGTGAATACAGAAACATCTTAAAGTTTAAAGAAGAGTTATGTCAATCAACAGAGTCAATGGAAACTTTTCAGAAACTTCTTTGCTCTTGCTTTTGTAAATCTTAATTGGCACTTAGTCCACTGCTTTGCACAAAAGTTCTCAGCAGTCGTGAATGCCAAATATGTTTCCTGGCCATGCGCCCATGCCAGTGGAGGGTAAGATATACCCACAATTCTGAACATCTTCAGAAGGCAAATCAAAGAATGGATACTACATTTCCCACTACATATACTAACACTGGAACTGGCCTCTGAAAATCAGGTGACTGATTTTTTTTCAATTTTTCAATTTTTTTTCTTAAGACAGGGTCTCACTATCACCCACGCTGGAGTGCAGTGGCACAATCATGGCTCACTGTAGCCTCAACCTCCCCACAGGTGACCCTCCCACCTCAGCCTCCTAAGTAGCAGGGAACACAGGCACGCGACGACACACCTGGTTAACTTTTCTATTTTTGTAGAGACAGGGTTTTGCCACATTGCCCAGGCTTTTTTTTTTTTTCCCAAATTTTTAAGCCTATAGAAGGACTTCCAGGGACATGAAAGGAAAGGGAAATGATAAAGAACTTCAAATAGCATAGTCTGCCCTATCTACCTTTGAAATAAGCAACTCTTCACTCTCCTATTACTTTTCCTAAATAACCTACAGGCTCTTAAAAACAGACCTAAAATACCACTCCACCATCCCAGTGTAACCTTATCAGTCAACAGAGGGCTATGGAGAATTGCCTAATGTGTAAAGAATGCCACGGGGAGTTATGGGCCACATCCCTCGTGTTTTACAAATTATCCTCTACATAATCCAACTGTGTTCCTATTTCATTTAGTTTATATTCTTCTAGTTTTTTTCCTATGTACATAAGTACTCATTTTTAAAATACAGGTGTCATTTTTAAAAATAACACTTTATATGCATCAGTGAACATTCCTACACACATTCCTGATTTTATGCATAGAACAAATTCTTTGACATAAATTTTGGGGCCAAAAAGTTTGTGAATTTTTAAATTTCTTAATACATACTACCAAATCTGCCTTTCAAAAATGTTTTATCAATTAATATTTCTACCAACAGAATATGAAAGTGTTTTTTCCCAATCCTTAAATTAACCTCTGGGTATAGGTTTTAATAACTGCCAACATTTAAATAGGTGAAATTAGAATTTTATTCTTATTTGTGTTTTGTAAACTGCCTGATAATGACAGTTTCCCACTTTTCTACTGTGAAGGAATGTTCAATTTTTTTCCTTTTAACTGTAAGAGTTTTGAAAATATACCATAGATATTATGCATTTGCCATAAATATGTTCCTATTTCCAAAAATATGAGTGCCAAGCGCAGAATAATATGGGAACTTAGCTCAATACACAATGCCACACACAAAATATTATATTAAATCACTTAAGTAAAAAGACTTTGTAATCAAACATAGGAAACTACTTATGTGACTCATATATTTGTATTACTATAATAATAAGAAAAATAATTGCCTCATTGTTCATTGGAAAATCGCTATCATTGTGATCTATATGTAAAAATTCCAATACACAAATCACATTCTGAAAAGTTTATATCTACTGTTTAGGCCTTTCCAGGCTCTCCATATAAGCAGAAAAAACCACTGCTACTGGTTGTCAGTTTCTTCTTTTAGAGAACAAAGAAGTGTTTTAAACTAGAGGCTTCTGAGTCTTCTTCTAGTTCTAACATTTTCAAAGTCTATGAGAGGGCTTCATGCTAATAAGGCTAATATGCTGAAAGGGCCTTACCAATATTAAGTTTCAAAGGCAAGAAATAGCCTAAGCTATGAGCCACAGTTCATATTACATGAAATGGTTGAGAAGCTCAAAATACCGAAATGACAGATAGTACTTTGGTTAACAGAGAAATGGTTTTATCCTGAGATTGCTGCTAATACAGAACTCCATTGTATTAATATATACAATAGTTAAGATGTGACACTGGAAACCTCTGATATGACTTTTGGCAATTAAAAGATGCAAGAGATTAGAACAAGCAAGCTGAACACAAGTGCAAGCTTACCTGGAATATTACCACGCGGAATTTGTTTTTCTTCATTATTTCCTCTTGCTTGACTTCAACTTTTTTAACATGAATTTGTTGCTTCTCCACCCGGGCTTTCACATCTTTAATGTGAGCACTAACTTTTCGGGTTTTCTCAAACAATTTGTTAATGATATGCCCTGTATTGCTATGCGACTGTGAAAGCTTCAACAGGTCAATCTGGACGGATTTTATGGCATTTTCCATTTCCCTGTGTCTCTCTTCTATTCTCTTCTGGCTTGCCTGCACACTGTCCACGATGGAGGCTACTTTGTCCAGCACAGTCACAATGGTAAGAGCAGCGTCTTGGTCTTCATCTTCTGTAACACTCGACAGGCGATTCTGGTGGATTTTATCAGCATTTGAAGCAGACCCATTATGTTCCATTTTATTTATTTCTCAGCGTAAGATGTCCTAACCACAATCAATTCTGGCACTTGGAGCAAAAAGTCAGCTTGATAACAGGCAACAGGGTTGTTTAAAGAGTTGGAAACCCCACCCCTAGAGAACGGTCAAGTATTTATAACTACAAATACCCATATGTGACTGTTCTGCAATCTGAACCCTTGCAAAGCACCGGGGACTGTTCCAAACATGCTTGCTGACTGACTAAGGGACTCAAATAAGACTGTGTGGGTAGAAGAGTAAAGCTTTTTAAAAAAGTTCACTAAAGCCACCATGTAACTAATATTAAACCTAGAAGCCAAATGATCAAAAAAGCAAACTCCAAATGTTGGGTAAAGCTTTTGCCTTTAGATAATTTCAATCAGTATTTGTAACAGTAAAGGGGAATTCTGAACCGAAATCTGCTTTTTCTACTAATTTCACATATTAAATATACTGAAACACCAATATCAAAAAATTTGGTAAATAAACACACCAAAACAGAGGCCATATAGTGAAAACATTATATTATAACATGCTTTTCCAAACAAAATATTAAAATTAATAATTTTTAACATATTCTTTAAATTCTACATGCATACTTTTGAATATCTAAACTACATGTTAAACAGCTGAATACATTCTACTCACACTTCAGATCTTTAAACACCAACAATCTATGAATATTAATCTATTACTACAGGACAAATTTGGATATACGTCTTGGATAAATTTTAAGCTCACTTTAAGAGCACCAATCATTAACAATCATTTTTGTATTTTATTCACAAACACTGATACGATTTGTTTATTTATGTTAAAACAAACATTTTCTTTAAAAATGAATGTGTATTAAAGTAGTTTAACTGGTAGAATAGGCTTTATTCCAATCTGTTTGTTAAACAGCCTATTTTCACAATATCTATATCTACTTTTCATTGATCTGTTCCATCATTACTAACATATTTGTTCAAATTATTAGGACTATTTTTTCAAAGGGAGGAATAATCAAATTCCCCAGTCCATATATCTTATAAATATTTTACACCTAATACACACAGCTTTACAGTTCATGCGATAGGCAGTGTCTAAAAAATCAGTTACTAAATCTCAAAAACATTTAAATATCTATTTAAACACAGTGTCTTCTAGATTTTTTTTGTAAGAAAAGTAATCTGTAAACATCTTTACCTTTAGTTCATGCTTGGTCATTTGCTGTGGTCATTGTGGAAGAAGTGGATATGACTTTATAACCATTTGTGAAGTAGTCCATCTTTGCAAAAATATTACATTCCATGGGTAAAGAACAAGTCTTAGAATTACCATGTGGTACAAATTTGTGAAAGCAATTTCTGTATTTAAAAACATAAAACAAAGACTACTAAACAGTCCAAAACTGTCGTAGCTGAATATTCTAAATACGAGCCAACAGTACTACACTAAAAATGTCCAAAAATAAGGCCTCTGAAATAAATATTTCCATTCTTTAAAAAAAGACATAATAAATGTACATCACATGGTCAGTGTACATATAAAAGTCATCAGTTTAAACCATTCTGGATGACGTATCTGAAGTAAAATGACCTAGGTTTTGCTTCTGTCGACGTCCTCTATTGTTTTTGGGGCATTTTCTGTTGCATTAAAAAAAGAAAGAGAGAAAAATATTGTTTTGATGATTTTGTTCAGGATATTTCAAATGTTTCCAAAGTAATACACATTTTGCACATAAAGCCACATTGCAAGCAATTACATGAAAGGGAAATGAGATGGTATCTGTTGCAAGACAAGATGAAGATGAACACAATTCAGACTGCTACCTCCTCTACAAACCTGGAAGTTGAGAGGATTAGATATGTAATATAGGTACTGGCACAAGCAAAACTCATTACCAGTGTCTATGCTACTATGTATGCATCCCTGACAGATATCCCACCCTTCCTCCAGCCTAGAAACTCCCTAGTCACAGTGACTGATAACATGAAACCCCTGACAGGAGAAAGGACTCTGGCCTATGTACTTTCCCTGTGCATTATGAGAAGACAGCTCTAAAATGACAAGAAGAGCTTAGATGAAGGGAGAAATCAGGAAGAAGTGTGCTTATTAACCTCAGCTATGAATACATAGGAATGTCTACTGATTTTAGACAATGACTCAAAAGAAGCTGTCCACACCCTCCTGGGGCAAACCACAGAAGCCCATAAGGAACTGCCACACTGAGGATAAGGGACATTCTTTAACTCTGCTCTCATTTTACCACGTTTCTCAACAGCAGTACAAATCTCACTGGGTTGGAACTGCTCTTGTGCCTGCACACTAGATTGCAAACACAAGATGCTGTGCTATGCAATGTGGAGTAAGGGGGCTAAGACGAATTCTGGGCTCTGCTAATAACTAACTGTGCAACCTCAATTCTCCTATATGTAAAAAATAAATTAGGAGTTGGACTAGCTTCCAAAATCTCTGCCAGCAAGAAATTTACAACCTAATGGAAAGAAAGTCTTATAACAATGAGTACTCCTCATTTCGTTCGATTTCAAAGAGTACAGCTTTGCCTTGACTAAAAGTGTTGACAATACTTCCATTTTGTATATGGTTTTACCTCACTAATCCTCATTTTAAAAGTGTGAGGTAGACAGAGTTGGAATCATCTCCATTTCATAAATGAGAAAACTAGCTGACAGATCAAGCAACCCTCTTGTACTGTCACTAACTCACCATGACCTTGGAAAAATTCCAATTTCCTAGTGCCATGGTTTTTAAATCCATAAAATCAGGGCGTTTAGTTAAGGTGATGTTCAAGGTTCCTGACAATCTGTCATTCTATGAGTCTGAAAATATGAAAGGCGATTCCAAGAAGAAGAAAAAAAGAAAAATTGACTCATGCAGTCTTGATAAACAGGTCAGTGGGAACATCCTTTTAAAGAAGATTCCTCCCATGTGACAGCCGCCACGGTATATGTCAACAGCTGTCTCATAATGGACTGTGTGGGAGAGATACTTAAAAACTCAATGGAAATAAATCCAAGTACATAAATGTTCTAAATCCAAGATAGCAAGACATTCTAGGGGAGGAAATACCATAATAAAAAGACAGGCCTCCAGGAGAAATCTGTGATAAATTCAATGAGATGACTCTTCAATCGTAGAGACAGTGGGCAGTAAAGACACTGTGACATAGTTAGAAATACACTGTGATGTCTAAGTGGCTGTGAGGGCAACAAGGAGGGATCTGGAGTATAAACTAGAGGGTACCTACTTCAAAACTGCCTGCCAGGTAATTTTAATTGAGTAGTTGAGCATTATAGCACTGAAAGAGTTGGGTAAAAGACTGTTGTAAGGGGGCTTTCCTAGCTCTAGGACCTTAGACCAAGGTACTTCTTATCTCAGGGCTTCAGTTTCCCAACTTCTCTAAATGAAGGGGTTGAACTCAGAATTGTTTCTCATTGACTCTGACATCCTTTGATCCTCTTAAAAATGGCACTATCTGGCTGGGCACAATCCCAGCACTTTGCGAGACCGAGGCAGGTGGATCACTTGAGCCTAGGAGTTGAAGACCAGCCTCGGCAACATGGCCAAACCCAGTCTCTACAAAAAAAAAAATACAAAAATTAGCAAGGCATGGTGGCGCATGCCTGTAGTCTCAGCTACTCGGGAGGTTGAGATAAGCCCAGGAGGTGGAGGTTGCAATGATCCAAGATCATGCCACTGCACTCCAGCCTGAATGACAGAGTGAGACCCTGTCTCAAATAAAGGCACTATCTCCAGGCCTCAAACATCTCCCCTTACTTTACCTTAATTTTCCTTCTGCCTTCCAAATCATTCATTACCTCACTCCTATTTAACTCTAATAATGACTTAAATGGTCTTCCCCCTACCTCATATGTTCACTACTCCAATGAATTTTTCAGATGACTCATTAATACTCTGAAAAATATGGTTTATACCAAGTCCTTCCCCTGCTCAAAAACCCTAAACTGCTACAAAATCAAGTTTGAACCCTGCTCCCATGCAATGGTCATACTGGGCAAACATGTTTCCCAAGATGACTCAACATGGAACCTTTCAGTGTAAAGAATGAATGGGAATCAAACTGAATCCAAATCCAGACAATTCCACTTACTAGTCGGATGACCACAGACAAATTACTTAACCTCTGAGTCTATATTAAATGGCTACAGCCAGTCATGCTGTTAAATGTGTTTTCCCTATCTTCTCTTTCTGTTATCATTATTTGTTACATGATTATGTCCCTACTTTGATCTACCGTCCAATTTTATATTCAGTAGTCTTGCCTAAGGGCAGATCATCTGTTCTGTGAAATAAAGCGCACTGACTTTCATGCCTAGGTGTTATGAAAAATATCTGTTACTTGGAGAACCTTTTCTTTTTTATCATTTCTAGATTTATCATCTCAGCTCCAGATGGCTGAGACTACTGAAGGTCTGGCTTCTATCCAGACCTTGGATAGAAGGGCCACAAATCCATTATGGCCTGCCAATATCTGTATTTGATATGCTTCAACCCTCTGCCCAGAATAATGCAGGGAAGTGGAGAAATGATGCTTATGAGACTTCTGAACTGAAGCTTAAAGAAAGAGGTAAGCAGGAAGAAAAGCATTAGACTGGGAAGCACAAAGACAACACGAACTTGCTGGATTTACTCTGACTTTTCTCAGGCCCAGTTCAGTCTGACTTATGTATTTCTACTCAGTTTAGAAAAGACCCATTTTATGCCACTGCACTCCAAATAAGTCATTTAATTTATGACGAATAATTTTATTTATAATACAGAATTTTAAAGCTTATTACTTATCGCTGCAATCCTGAAAATGAAGTAATGTTAACACCATGATATCACAATAAAACTATCTTCAGCCTCTGATTTCTTCCTTTCTTACTATACTAACTGTGAGTAAAGTACGTTCTTAGGGCACAGAACCCCTTGCAGTTGTGCAGGGCTTAAAAATCTTCTGCATGGATCTCCTATGCATGTGCAGATCATTCTAGAAATTCTGAGCCAGTCAGGGTGGTTCACGCCTATAGTCTCAGCTACTCTGGAGGACCACTTGAGCCCAGGAATTTGAGGCTGCAATGAGCTCTAATTGCTACTGCACTCCAGCCTGGGCAACAGAGTGAGGCCCTGTCTCTTAAAAAAAAAAAAAAAAGATTGCTACTAACATTATTTTCCCAGAATACAGTGTTCAAAGACTGTATACAGTTCTCAGATCCCTAAATTCCTTTATCTCATTGACTATTCTCATTCCCTCTCTGCTTGTCGCCCAGATATACCTGTAAGACTGGGAATTAGTCCCTGCCCGTATCCTAAAGAAGAAGGATAGGGAGAGACCACTGAAAACCTCAGGGAACTGATCATAAGATTTTTCCTAATAGACTGGTGGCCTCAAAGCATCTATAAATAAACAGTTGCCTGCCTCTAATTTAAAGTTGATATTTCTTACATCATTACCTACCTTGTTATGCACATTACAATTGCTACTATGATGGCAATCTGTACAGCTCCAATAATTGCTGCAATAAGAACATGAGTGAGCTTTTGCCTACTTGGCACTACATAGAGAATACTAAAGTCTGTCTTTTCACAGTGCTGTCCAGTGTAGCCAGATTCACATCTGAAAAGGAAAAATATATATATTCCTATGAAAATTACAAATTTTGATACTCCCAAGCTTTTACATTAAAAAATACAAAATAGTAATAAAATTTAAACAGGAATAGGATATCATGCACTTTCCTACCATCTGGGGGAAAAATGTCATTTGTATGTTTCCCTACTGTCTTTCTGATATGCCTACATGGTGCGTCTTTCACCTAAGTTATATCACATTAATTTTAAAGTTGCTGAATATTGTTAATGTATATCTTTTTTTGTTATTGTTGCTTTTGCTTTTGGTGTCATATCTAAGAAATTATTGCCTAATCTAAAGCCACAAAGATTTACTCCTTTTTTTCACTTTTTAAATTAAATTTGCTTAAAAATTGACAAATAAAATTACGTATATTTATCATGTACAACAGGGATCCCCCCCAACTCCCGGGCCATGGACAGATATTGGTCCATGGCCTGTTAGGAACCA
Organism: Homo sapiens; assembly: GCF_000001405.40. NCBI lineage: Eukaryota > Metazoa > Chordata > Mammalia > Primates > Hominidae > Homo > Homo sapiens. Next base: position 100,572,052 of record NC_000009.12, on the reverse strand, counting down.
GGCCACACAGCAGGAGGTGAGTGGTGGGCAAGTAAGCAAAGCTTCTTTGTATTTACAGCTACTCCCCATCACTCACATTACCACCCAAGCTCCGCCTCCTGTCAGATCAGCACTGGCATTAGATTCTCATAGGAGCGCAAACCCTATTGTGAGCTGCGCACACAAGGGATCTAGGTTGAGTGCTCCTTATGTGAATCTAATGCCTAAGGATCTGTCACCGTCCCCCATCACCCCCAGATGGGACTGTCTAATTGCAGGAAAAACAAGCTCAGAGCTCCCACCAATTCTACATTATGGTGAGTTGTATAATTATTTCATTAAGTATTACCATGTAATAATAATAGAAATAAAGTGCACAATAAATGTAATGCACTTGAATCATCCCCAAACCATCACCCCCACCCCCAATCCCCAGTCCATGGAAAAACTGTCTTGTACGGAACTAGTCCCTGGCAACAAAAAGGTTGGGGACCACTGATGTACAACATGATATTTGGAAATGTATAGACATTGTGGAATGGCTAAATCAAGCTAATTAACATATGCATTACCTCATATAGTTATCATGTCTGTGGTGAGAACACTTAAAATCTACTCTCTTAGCATTTTTTTCAAAATAGATACATATAATTTCAAAACAGAAATATAATACTCCATCCAGTGACTATAATATAGCTAGCATTATCTATTCCCAGTTCTAAGACATGTCAGTTATTTTCAATTTTTCACAATTATAAATTAGATGTGGTAAACATCTTGGTGAATATGCGCTTTTCTATATTTAGTGTTATTCCTTAGGGCTAAGTACCTGAAAATTAAGACTATTGAAAAAATAGGTATAAACATTTACAGTCCTCTGAACATAGCACCAAATTATATTCAAGACACTTTTCAGTGTATAAAATATAAACATGTAAGATGCAAGGGGAAGATGAAAATAAGTTATTAATAACAGAAACAATGTCAAGCAGTCAAGGAGGTAAGCTGTAGGTGCTAATCTTGGAAATTATCTGAATTCCAATTAAAAGTAGATAAAAAGACAACTGCATCAGCTGATGATAATTTGACAGGGAGAAATATTTAAGACACTTAACAGACAATTTACATTTTTAAGCTGACAGCAGTGAAATGTATAAATTAGCCAGCCTTCAGTGAGAACTGATTAATAAAACATTTGAAGTATAAAAACAGTATTTATGAATGTCCCACAACTCATTAAGAAAAGAATTTGAGGCAGCTTATCGCAAAGCACACATTAAAACAACAAAAAAGAAATGTGGGAGGAGGGAAACAGGGAAATCCAGGGGTGCTGCAAGTCTACCAATCCAGTCCCTGAGGTTCCTAGACACTTCCCAGTACATTTCACATTGGGCTCTACGCTTTCCAGCAAACAAAAAAAAACAAGCAGTGGGCAGGTATGTGGATCATGGAAGAGAATGGAGAGCCTAGAAATAAACCCATACATCTATGGTCAATTGGTTTTGACAAGGGTGCTAAGATAACTCAATGGGGAAAGAACTGTTTCTTCAACAAATGGTGCTAACTGGATATCCACACACAAAAGGATGAAGCTAGACCTCTTCCTCGTGTCATACACAAAAATTGCCTCAAAATGGATCGCAGATCTAAACGTAAGAGCTAAAACTATAAAACTCTGAAGAAAAAAAACATAAGATACAGTTATTATGGAAAACCGTATGGAAGTTCCTCAAAAAATTAAAAATAAAACTACCATATGATCCAGCAATCTCATTACTGGGTATATAACTATAGGAAATAAAATCAGTATATTGAAGAAATATCTGCACTACCACGTTTATTGCAGCATTATTCACAATAGCTAAGATATGGATTTAATCTAAGTGTCCATTAACAAATAAATGGATAAAATAATGAGGTATATATACAAAATGGAATACTATTCAGCCATAAAAAAGAAGGAAATCCTATCATTTGCATGGATGAACCTCCAGAACATTATATTAAGTGAAATAAGCCAAGCATAGAAAGACATATACTGAGTGATCCCACTCATATGTGGAACCTAAAAAAGTTGATCTCATAGAAGTAGAGAGTAGAATAGTGGTTACCAGGGACTGGTGTGGTAGGAGGTGCTTTGAGGACATGTTGGTCAGGGGATACTAAATTTCAGTTAGATGGGAGGAATAGGTTCAAGAAATGTAGTGTACAACATGGTGACTATAGTTAACAATGCAGTGTATTCTTGGAAAATGCTGAGGATTTTAAGTGTTCTCACCACAAAAGTGGTAACAATGTGAGGTAATGCATATGTTAATCAGCTTGATTGGACATTTCACAATGTATATATATTTCCAAATATGATGTACATAATATGTATACATAATTTTGTCAATTTTTAAATAAATTTAATTTTTAGAAGAGAATAAAACATAGGAGTAAATCTTTGTGACCTTAGATTAGGCAACAGTTTCTTAGATATGACACCAAAAATCAAAAGCAACAACAACAACAAAAAAGATAAATAGCACTAAATCAAAATTAAAATCTTTTGTACTTAAGGACATTATCAAGAAAGTGAAAAGACAAGCCACAAAATGGAAAAAAAAAGTAAGTTCCATATATCTGATAAGGGACTTATATCTAGAATATATAAATAACTAATACAACTCAATAATAGCCAAAAAATAAAAGAGCAAAGGATGTGTACTGACATTTCTCCAGAGAAGATATACAAATAGCCAATAAGCACATGAAAAGATGCTCAACATCATTAGCCATCATGGAAATAAAAATCAAAGCCACCGTATATGCCAGTTTTTACAGTTACTACGATAGCCTAAATCAAAAAGTCAGATAATTACAAGTGTTGTCAAAGGTACTGTAGGGTGTGTAAAATGGTGCAGCCACTTTGGAAAACGGTCTGGCAGCTCCTCAAAATGTTAAACACAGGGTTACCATTTGGCCCAGCAATTCTACCACTAAGCTTTACCCAAGTGAAATTAAAACACGTTCACACAAAAACTTGCAAATGATCATTCAGAGCAGCATTTTTCATAATAACCATAAAGTGGAAAGAACCTAAATTTTCATCAACTGATGATGAGTAGATTAAAAACATGTGGTGTCATCCATACAATGGAATAGTATTCAGCCACAAAAAGGAATGAAGTACTGATATGTGTTATGACATGGATGAACCTGGAAAATATTACGCTAAGTTAAAAAAAGCTAGACACAGGAGACCCCATACTATATAGTTCAATTTACATGAACTATCCAGAATAGGTAAGTCTATAGAGATAGAAAATAAATTAGCGGATGCCTAGAGCTAGAGAGCATGAGGGGATTTGGGAGTAAAAGCTAAAGGGTATGAGGTGTCCTCTTGAGGAGATGAAAATGTACTAAAATTGATTGTGGTGATGGTTGCACAACTCTGTGCATATATTAAACACCAATGGAGAAGGAAGGAAGGAAGAGAGGGAGGGAAGGAAGGAGGGAGGGAGGACAGTTGACACAAAATACAATCTCCATAAAATAAAATCAAACAAGTCATTCAAAAGAAGCACAGTTATTACTGTTATGAAACTTAAGGGAACTTAATCTCATTGGTCCTCATTTAAAGAGGGCACCTTCTAACATAAAGAACATTATCCTCAACAACACAGCTGCAGTAAATTCAATGATATAATGAAGTCTCATGGGATTTTTTAAATAATGTCCTTCATGGTAGGCTAATGGCCAATAGTCAAAGCTCAGTAATATAAAAACAGTTCCATAAGGAGCTGTAACAATGTCCTAGATATGCAGCTCTCTAATGGTTTGGCTTAAGCCAAAGATTAAAATCAGAGTATCAAAAAGAACCAATAGGCCATATATCATCCCTGCAGTTCTCCCTGGATATCATTTTCTCCAACTGACTTTTGGTTATACTATCTGATATGGTTTGGCTGTGCCCTACCCCAATCCCATCTTGAATAGTAACTCCCACAACTCCCATGTGTCGTGGGAGGAACCCAGTGGGAGGTGATTGAATTATGGGGGCAGGTCTTTCCTGCACTGTTCTTGTGACAGTAAATGAGTCTCACGAGATCTGATGGTTTTAAAAACTGGAGTTTTGCTGCACAGGCCCTCTCTTTACTGGCTGCCATCCAGGTAAGATGTGACTTGCTCCTCTTTGCCTTCCCCCATGATTGTGAGGCCTCCCCAGCCACGTGGAACTGTAAGTCCAATTAAACCCTTTATTTTGTAAATTGCCCAGTCTTGGGTATGTCTTTATTAGCAGTGAAAACAGACTAATACACTCTCCTAATACCTAGAGTACTAACTTCTAGGTTATTACTTCTTCTTCTGTTACTGATTAAAGGCAGATCCAGGGATTCAGTCCTCCACTTTCTATTTTCATCCCAAAACACCTTCCACAGGCAATCCCATTCACTCCCACTGTCTCACGTGTGAATTCATTCACACATCCATTTACCACAATTATTGAGCACCTACTGTGGTGAGCATTTGGGATGTATCAGTGAACAGAACAGATAAAGATCCCTGGCCTGCTTACCAGCTACCGGGAGAAGAGTGTCAATAAACAAAGTAAGTGAATTAAATGGTTATGTTAGAAGGTGATATGCACTACAGGGGATGTGGGGTGTGAGGTGTTAAGGGAAACTGCGAACACCAGGTATGAGCCAGGAAAGTTGCAGGAAGGGAGGGTTGCAATTTTAAATAAGGCAATCCGGGTAGGTTAAGAAGGTAACACGTGAGTAAAGACTTGAAGGAGGTGAGGAGCCTGCCATGCAAACAATTGGAGGACAGCATACCAGGCAAAGGAAGAGCCAGTGCAAGTCCCCTAAAGTGGGAGCATCCATGCATGCATGGCATGCCCAAGAACAGCAAGTGTGGCTGCAGAAGAGGGGGTGAGGGAGAGGAGAGCCAGACAGAGAGGTGAAGAGACAAAACTGTAGGGCCTTCTGCACTTAGTGAGATGAAGGAACCACTGGAAGGATTTTAGCAGAGGAATGATACGAACTGACTTTTATTTTAAAAGGTTCACTCTGCACTGTGGGAGGCCAAGGCAGGTGGATCACCTGAGGTCAGGAATTCGAGACCAGCCTGCGCAACATGATGAAACTGTCTACAAAAAAATGCAAAAATCAGCCTGGCCAACGTGCTGAAACCCTATCTCTACTAAAAATACAAAAAATAGCCAGGTGTGGTGGTGCACGCCTGTAATCCCAGCTATTCAGGAGGCTGAGGCATGAGAATCATTTGAACCCAGGAGGTGGAGGCTGCAGTGACCTGAAATCACACCACTGCACTCCAGCCTGGGCAACAGAGTGAGACCCTGTCTCAAAAAAAAGAAAAAAGAAAAAAGAAAAAAGGCGGGGGCACTCACTGTCTGCTGTTTTGATTATGGACTGTAGAATACAATCACGGAAGCTACTGCAAAAATCCCAGGAAAACATTGGCCTGCACTAGGAACAGCACTGGCAATGGTGAGAAGTAACCAAATTCTGGAGATATTCTGAAACAGAATTCCCAGCTGATTGGATACGAAAGAGAAGTCAGAGATACATCAGAGGGTGTTTTGTCTGAGCAACTGAAAAGATGGAGTTGGAATCAACTGAGATGAAGAAGGTGGCAGGTAAAGCAGGTTTAGGGAGGGAGAGCAGATCAGGAGATCAGCTTTGGTCCTGTTGAGATTGAGGTGTCAGACGTCCATGTGGAAATGTAAAGGAGGCATATGGATCTACGAGTTTCAAATTCAGTAGAGAAGTCTGGGATTTATGTAAATTAGGAGTTATTAGCATATGTCATGGGAAGTCCTGAGACTGGACAGAATCTGTAAGAGAAGAGGACTGGGACTGAACCCGGGTACACTACTACATTGAGAGGTCAAGGAGCAAAGTGGGAAGCAGCCAAGAAAACTGGAACATCCAGCGAAGTAGGAAAAAAACAAGAGACAGTATAATTCTTGACACCAAGTGAAGAATGCATATCACACAGGAGGGGGTGAACAAGTGTGTCAAATGCACTGATCATTCAAAAGTAATTTGAGACTAAGTACTGACCACTGAATTTAGAAATGAGAACAGTCTCAGTGGAGTGTTAGGGACAAAAGTTTGTTGGGGTGAGTTCAAGAGAAATGGGAAGTGAGGAACTGGAGATAGACTTTAGACAACTCTTTTGAGTTCTATGAAGGAAAGGAAACAAACAGGACAGTAACTGGTGGGAATGAGAATGAGGAGTTTTTTTCCAAGATGGAATAAATAAAAGTTTATCAATATATATGAGATATACTGATATCAAGTTCTATGATACAGAGAAACAGGGAGAGGCTTGCTGGTAGGTGATAGTGAAAGTGTGCAAGTTCTCATATTGCTTCCATTTTCTCAGTGAACTTGGAAAGAAGATCAACAGGCAAGAGTGAGGATGAGAGAGGAGGTACTGCTAATCTGAGGAGAGAGGAGAAGGTACAAAGAAATCATACAGGAGAGGAGGAGAATGTATAAACTGCAGGTGTAGAATGACTGCCAGGGCAGCATAAAGGGCCCACCTTGAGACCGATCGGTATGTCAGTGAGACGAGTTAACCGGTGGTGTGCTTTTCACCGACAGCCATGATCAACTGCATGTATAGGTATGCAGTGGGTGGAGAGCTGGGAGGAACCAGGACTACAGTTTTGGCAAGTGAGTATGATGAAGCAATAGAGGAATGTGGGATTCAAATGCAAAGGGAACTACAATGACTGGCCATGGAATTTACACTAACGAGGGGAAGAGAATATCCAGGGAGGGACACGGAAAAGGTGATAGGATCAATAAATGGGAGGGCTAGTGGGATAGAAGAATTGCTAGGTAGAAAGTAAAATGGATATGCTAGAGAGGGAATGATTCTCAAATGTATGTCTTCAATCACATCTCTCTCATCAGTTCCAAAACTAAAATATATCCAGCAGCCCACTAGACATCTGTAAGCGGATATCCCACAGGCATCTTAGACCAAGCACGTCAAACTGAATATATCATTCCCCCTCAAACCTTCTCCCTCTTCCCAATGCATTTCCCACTCAATCCTGTGTTAGCCAGAAAGCCAGGAGACTCTCCTGACTCTTAATCCCACTAACCTCCACCAATCCCCAGGTTCTCGTGCTCATATCCAACCTAACAGGTCGGTCACCAACATCTGTGAGTTCAACCACCTAATGATCTCTCTGCAATCCATTTATTTTCTCAGCCTCACAACTCCTTTATACTTAATTCAGGCCCTTACTTCTTACTAAGTCTCCTAAATTTTCTAATCTACTTTCCACAATGTCACCAGAGTGGCTTTCAGATTTGATCTCATCATTGCTACTTAAAATCCTCTAATCGTCTCTCACTGCCTTTAAAATAAAAGCCAAGCTCCTGGGATGGCCCAAATGTTCCTGTAAGACCTGACCCTTCCTCCAACAATGTCCCCCACCCATCTTCAGGCTGATGTGCCTTTTCTGAAGTCCCAAATCGCCTCATGTATAGCTGTGTATGATAGCATTTTCCATATTATAATTACTTATTTGTCGGTCTCTTTCACCAGGTTGTATGCTTTTTAAAGGCAAGATCCCTGGATCTCTGTCATAGTTGAATTTGACACCCCAATATCAGGGAGAATTTGGCATTAATAAGTCAATCAACCAATCAATCAATCAAAAAATAAATCAGGCCAGGTGCGGTGGCTCATGCCTGTAATCCCAGCACTTTGGGAGGCTGAGGCAGGTGGATCACCTGAGGTCAGGAGTTCGAGACTAGCCTGGCCAACATGGCAAAACCCTGTCTCTACTAAAAATAGAAAAATTAGCCAGGCATGGTGGCACACACCTGTAATCCCAGCTACTTGGGAGGCTGAGGCAAGAGAATCGCTTGAACCTGGGAGGTGGAGGTTGCAGTGAGCCGAGATTGCTCCACTGCACTCCAGTCTGGGTGACAGATCAAGACTTCATCTCAAAACAAAAACAAAACGAAAAATCAGTGGTACCATAATGCTAGAAGATTTTAACCTAACAATAGGACTGTGGCTAAAGGCTGTTTATCCTTGCCTGTTTACTGCTATGCAAACACACCTACCTACTAGCAGAAGTGCACATGATATCATGGCCTGATTCCTATAGACACTGCACAGACTCAGACAAAAGAAAAAGATCAACTGCTTTTAAGGAGTTATAATTGTGCAGAAAAGGGATTCTTTAGCATTTAAGATATTCCTCTTAAAAATTTATCATCATCACAGGTCATTCAAAAAATATTTACTGAGTACCTACTGGGCTAGGTCCTATACTAGGCACAGGGAAAATAGTGGTTAACAAAACAAAGAGCCCCTGACTAACGGGCTTAGAGTATAATGATATCAATTGCTATTCATTAAGTACATACTACATACCAGGTATCAGGCTAAGCACTTTACATATATTATCTCACTTAATTTTAACAACATGAGATAGGTACTATTACTATTCTACTTTCAGAAAGATGAAAATGAGGCTTAGATATTTTACGTAACTTCCAAAGAACACACAGCTAATAATTGGCCAGGTCAGTGTATCCAATTTCAAAGCCTTTAACCTGTACACGATTCAATCCTCTTACTTTCAGTTAGTAAAATACTAGAAAATGACCTTGTATCACATCATTACCAGAACATGATCCTCTCTCTCGTCCTTCATTTAAGTATCTTGAAAGACGCACCATCCTAAGAGGACAAGATCCAAACTTCTATCAAGCTATCCATGCCACTGTAGGACAAACATGAAGAGCCCACTATAAGATTTAGTTTAAAAATTGGCCTGGGCCAGGAGCAATGGCTCACACCTGTAATCCTAGCACTTTGGGAGTCTGAGGCACGCAGATTTAATGAGCTAAGGAGTTCAAGACCAGCCTGGGCAACACAGCAAAACCCTGTCTCTACCAAAAATGCAAAAAATTAGGCTGGGCATGGTGGCTCACACCTGCAATCCCAGCACTTTGGGAGGCCAAGGCGGGCGGATCATGAGGTCAAGAGATCAAGACCATCCTGGCCAACATAGTGAAACCCCATCTCTACTAAAAATACAAAAATTAGCTGGGCATGGTGGCGTATGCCTGTAGTGCTAGCTACTCAGGAGGCCAAGGCAGAAGAATCACTTGAACCCAGGAGGCGGAGGTTGCAGTGAGCCGAGATCGCACCACTGCACTCCAGCCTGGTGACAGAGCGAGACTCCATCTCAAAAAAACAAAAAATTAGCCAAGCATGGTGGCACATGCCTGCAGTCCCAGCTACTCAGGAGGCTGAGGCAGGAGAATCGCTTGAACCTGGGAAGCCGAGGTTGCAGTGAGCCAAGATCGCACCACTGCACTCCAGTCTGGGCGACAGAGCAAGACTCTATCTCAAAACAAAACAAAACAAAACAAAACAAAACAAAACAAAACAAACAAAAAAAAAAACCTGGCCTGTTACCATTCGTACAGCTAGATTTTTTAAATGTTCACAAAAAAAAGAAGAGAAGGCTAGCTCCTTCAAAGACAAGGAGAACTTTCAATCAGGAAAAAGCAAATGTCTTAAAGAACTATTCAACCATTAACAGTTTACAGTGTTTTGTTTTGTTTCTTGTTTTTTTAAGCAGGAGAAAGGCAGGTGAAAAAAATCAGGAGCAGGGAGCTAAAGAAGTAGAAGGACCCAAGAGACTGGATTTCCAATTGCTTCCTCTTATTTTTTTGGAAAGAAAGATTCACTGGCTTCTAGGTGGACCAAACAAAAGAAAAGTATAGTATTTCTCCATGTTTCGATGTTTTGACTAAGAAAGGAAAAAAAGGATCTGGTCAAACTCCAGGAGGCAAGGGTGAGCAAAATGACAGCAATGTCCCCTTGTCTATAGAAACATCACCTGGCTAACTAGACCAACATCAAGCAGATGATGAGCTTCTAGCAGCAGCAGCAAAAAGGTGTATCCGCAGACAGGCAAGAGCAGCAAAAAACACTAAGATCATCAGGTAGGGTATCGGAAAGTCTGAGACTTAGTTTTTTCCCAGCTCTATTTCTAACTTGCTGTTGACCTTGAACAAGTTACATAACCTCTCTGGAATCAGGGATTTGAGGATTTACGCCCTTTCCATTTTCATCTCTCAATTCACACCTGGTTCTTCGTCCCCATCCCCTTATTTTTAGAAATCTATTTTAGCACATATTTTATTTGAGTTACATGTTCTCTGTTCTTAATACAGTCTTTAGTCCCTCAGCCACCTTGTGACAGATTGCCTAAAAACCAAAATAGTGTTGGAATGTGGCACATTTATTTTTTGTATTAAAAATGTATAGTATTATATTTAAAATGTTAAGCCCTAAAAAAAAAAAAGATTTTTGTTTTCTGCATATTACTTGCCAGTTTTTTTTTCCAAATGATGCTGCTGATTTGTTTTTTACTTGTCTACTGCAAATAAACACTACTTTCTGGTAATATTTAGTCTACATTTCATTCCCTTCTATAGAGCAACAACCATTGATGAAAAAAAATGCTCACCACTGATCTGGAAGCGCTGACTTACCTACAAGAAGCCTTCTGAGTAGAATAGATGAATTCACATTTTCCATGGATGCAGTAACCATTGAGGTTTTCAGGGCAAGGCATGTGGTTTCCAATATAAACATCTTCTCTTTGATCACTAGCATCTTAAAAGAACATAAACCAGATCGTTCAACAATGAAACGCAAGCTGAAAAATAAGGACTTTTCAAATGTTCTGAAACAGCAAATGAATTCACCCACTGTCAACCACCTACTGGCAATTTGAAAAGAAAATTTATCAGATAGGGGGTTAGATAAGATCCAGGGTCTCTTCTAATTCCTATTATGCCATAAACACAGCAGGTAAACTGTTTAGATTCAAAGCATTTAAAAATATTTGCAGAATGTGACTGCTAGGAGTTACTGTTGTTTAAAAACAATCTGGCAAAGAAAACTAAACACCTTTGCTAAAGAAATAAATGCTCTAAAAGAAAGTTCACCTCTGTGACAGACAGATGGTGTACATAGAATTGGCTTTTGGGGAATGAACTTAATCATTTATTTGAGGGCTATGAAATTGAGGCCAAAGAACACTGAATGACAGAGAGCAAATTAAGGGACTCTGAAATTTTAGGGTTAAAGGTTTATTTTTGGAATGAAAATTATCAAGCACATTGATTTTTTTCCCAAGTGAAAATAGCTTTGCTGCTCTTTTCATATAGTTTTTCTTAGTATATGGTCATTATTTTAAAAATTCAAGTAATACAGAGGTTAAAAAAGAAATTCAAAATAACCTGAGATTTCGCTCTCCAAAAATAAAACACTGTCAACATGTTGATGAACATCTGCTCAGACTTAAGTATAATGATTTGAACTGAACTGAAGTGAAGAAAATGAAGAGAGTCAGGAAGGAGAGATGGAACAGGTCAGGAAAGATGAAAACATAGGAACTTGGTCTTCAAAATCAGATTCATTCACTCATTCATTCTCTGTATATACATCACACACTCACATATGCACACACACATACACAAATAAATTTGGGAATGGATTTTTGTACTTTTTTTGGTATATGCACCAATACATTAATCCTAAGCTCAAAGGACCCAGAATTCCGCAATATTTACAGGCCTGTCCATGTGCAGGAAAAATCCCCAGGCTTCCTGCCATTTCTATCTTACACAGTTCTAGCTAACAGACTCTGTGCACTACAGCCGTACCTGCAGTATACTACCCTCTTAAACCTGAGACTTCATAACTATAAATTCAGAATAATAGGACCTATACTTCATGCAGTTTTGAGAGGACTAAAGGAGATAACAAATGCATGTACAATACCACCAAAACAACCAGCTATTTATATAGCACATCATGTAACATCACAGGGCCTATCTCCCCAAAATACAAATAAAAGGTATTAATAAAATTTTTTAATGTTAATGGAAACAAATTAAAAAGGAATGAAATAGTGAGTTATATGTATGTGTATGGAGAAGATCAAGAGGAAGATCAAGGGAGAAGTGAGAATAGAGGTGCCAAGTGTAAAAAAACCCTGAGAACCAAAAACGCGGATTTTCTGAGGATCAAAATTTACATATAGACAGAAAAAAACCTTAATGATTATTAAGGTCAGTGACAGTGGAACTAAAGCAGAGAGAAATCAGACCAAAATGATATTATTTTTCCTCAAAGTGTATATATTTACATTGTGCTAATTTAATTTATGCCTAGAAAGAGAATAGACCTAAAAGTCAGGGAACCTAACATATAAATTCTCAATTTAAAAAATGTCTTTACTGCTTTGTGACCTCGTTCAAATCACTTCTTCTCTCTGAGGGAACTGAATGAGACCAGCACTACCCAACATAGGTATAGTACAAGACACATATGTAATTTTATATTTTCTAGTAGCCCAGATTTTAAAAAGTAAATAGAAACAAGTAAATTAATTTTAATCATATATTTTAATCCAATATAGCCAATAAATATCATTTTCACATACTACCAATATTAAAAATTGAGATATTTTTACTTTTTAAAATAAGTCTCCAAATTCTGATATTTTACACCCACAAAAGATCTAAATTCTGACTAGCCACATTTCAAGTGCTCAATAGCCACACGAGCCTAGTAGCTATCATAATGGAAAGTGCAAAACAGATCACTAATTTATCATCTACTGATCACCTTGTATATGCTGGGTACTCTGTTAGGTGCTGGGAATACAAAAATGAAAACATATTCTGTCATCAAAGGGCTTATAAGGTCTCTTCCAGCTCCCATACTATAATTCTGCCATTGCAAAAGAAATCAAGCTCTCTTTTGGGCTGCTATGATCCTGAGCACTTACTCCTCTATTATAACACTCACAATACTGCCTGTTTTATTGCTATTTGGGTTTTTTAAGTCAGCCTCTACCATAAGACTGTGAGCTCCTTAATAATCTAGCTGCTTGTGTTATTCGTTTCTGTATAACTCCTAACATTTAGAATGTAGTACATATAATGGCTAAGCACACAGCTCTAGGGCCAGACTGCCTAGGTTTGAATCCTGGTTACAACACTCTCTAGCTGTGTGACCCAAAGGCAGTTACTTAACTATTTCTGGCCCTCAGGTTTTTAATCTGAGAAATGAAGATGACAGTGATGTCTACTTCTTGTAGGGTTGTTTTGAGGCCTAAATGAGATAATATATTTAGTGTATTAAGTATGTAAGTGTGTACAGAACTTAGAAAAATGCCTGGCAAACAATAAGTACTTAATAAATAAGTATTACCAAGTATTGTTCCGTGCTCAACAAATGTTTGTTAAATGAATAAATTCTAATTTTCTCCTGGTAAAGGGAGAAAAAACAGTTATAAATTGTATCTTTGTTGTTTTCCATTGACAAAATTATTATCCAATAAAGGTTTCCATCTTGAATTCCTTAGTGAACTGGGCTGTCTGCAGTAGTCCTATCCTGTGTTTCCTAACAGAGGTCAAAACTTAATTATCACATCTTTTATTTATTAATACTTGTGATCCAAGCAGAAGACTTTCCTGAAGTAATTTAGCTTTGATGAGAAATAGTTTATCAGAAGCCAAATAACTGAGATCAAATATACTTTTCTTGCTACAGTTTCAAACTAAAAATGCCACTCTACATTCCCAATCAGGCCATAAGTGAATTGAGGAAAGTGGTCATCTCCCATAGCATTTCTCAGAACATGGTCATGAAAGGGTATAACAATGGGACTATAGAGAATAACGTTATGCACCAACCTATGATAATAAAGTCCTATAAGGATAGAGTCCTAGTAATAGGACGGTGCAGGTCTGTAGAGGCTGTGGTAATGTACTAATCTACCATAAGAAGTTCTTTAAACAGCAAGGAATTTCAAGAATAATGCAGAGCTGAAAGCTATAAGAGAACTCAGCTAGGTGAAAGCAGTCAGAGGAAGTTAACCAAATTAAAAACAAGGTTTTGAGAAATTAATAAGAAAAGTATGGCACCAATAAACATATACTGAATGAATTAATGAAAGAATGTGGTATCAAGCTGTAGGCAAAGTGAGGCTATATAAAACATGAACATGTCTAATAAGGCTTTGAATCCTGTGACAACGTCCGAATTCACAGAGTCTAATATTCCGCTCAATGCCAACTTTATTCATCCCATTAAACGTACATACTATTTCTGGACATAGCTACATGCTCAGCTAAGCTACAGAGGATATTAAAAAAAAAAAAAAAGCATGCATGGTCCTTGCCCTCAAGAAGCTTATAGTCAATTTAGAAAATCAGCATATACACATGAAAAGCTGAATAACACAAGGGGAAGGGGTCCCATGTGGCAGTTTACAATTAAACGGCAAAAGATGGTTTTATAACACTAGGTGCTATGGAAGTTCAAATTGAAAGGAGAATTCACTGTAGGCTAAAGGATTTATTGATAGGGTAGGACTTAAGTTAAGACTCAGAGCATAAATAGATTTAGACAGAGGAATGGTGGAAGGCAAAGGGAAGGTATAATGCACATGGCATTCTCAAGAATAAACAGTAGCAACCCAGGTAGAGTGATACATTCAGACTGGCGAAGGGTATATGTCAAAGTTGGAAAAGTAGGCTAAAACTAGATTATGGAAAAATTTGAATTCTAGGTGAGACATGTTTTCTTCATCGTATGGACAAGGAAGACACTAAAGGCCTTTTGAAGAGCAGCACAGGGAAAGCCGGGTTTTACATGAAAATTAGTTGAGAGTAGTTGCCTAGAGCTGGTGGTTAAGCGAATGGGGAGTGACTGACTAATAATGGGTGTGGAGGTTCTTTTAGGGGTGTAGAAAATGTTCTAAAATTAGATTATGATTAACACTTTTACAACTCTGTAAACATACTAAAAACCACTGAATTGCACACTTTAAACAGATGAACTTAATGGCATGTAAATGGAATCTCAATAAAGATATTAAAATAATTAATTGGATACCAGCATACAAGATAATGGGGCAGGGGAACTAGGAAGACCATATATATATATCAGGTGACCAATTAAAAGGTTAGTACATAATCCATTAACTGGGAATGGGGTGCACACCTGTAAGCCGAGCTACTCAGGAGGCTGAGGCACAAGAATCACTTGAACCCAGGAGGTGGAAGGTTGCAGTGAGCTGAGATCGCACCACTGCACTCCAGCCTAGGTGACAGAGCGAGACTGTGTCTCAAAAAAATAAGAAGGTTAGTACATAATCCAAACTTGTGGCAACAAGAAGCTAAGCTAAATCTCAGCAATAGGAGTAGATACTAGACACACAGAAAAAATAAAAATGGTTTGAAGATGTTTTGGAAAGTGAATGAGCTCAGAAACTCAGATCTGGAAGGGTCCTTGGAGGCCATCTGGTTTGATAAAGGAATCTCTTTAGTTTTATAACTCTCAGAGCCTATGTCTACTTGAACACTTCCAGAACTCATAATACAGTTTATTCTAATACCATCAGATTTTCTTTATGTTGAATGAAACCTCGCTTCAACTTGGTGTAGACTTCCCCACATCTGTTTACCCTCTCCCCTCTATTAACCAATCCTTTATTTTTAAGCTCAGATTTCCCCAGTCCCACCCCTACTCAAACAATTTACAACTATCTTGAAGAGTGGTACCCAGCACTAACCCCGCACATTTAAGAGTTTAGTAGAACCAAACTGTCCTCTTTATTGAAGATGCTTGTAATACAGAATTATGTAAAAATGACTCCAAATGTGAGCCTAATGATGGGGGTTCCGAAGAGAAAATGTAGTAAGCTGAGATCAAGTTTAGATCTCCAGTCATTCAAAAAGTATTTTTTAAGCATCTATTACGTTCCAGGCACTATGGTAGTTCCAGAAGTTTGAAGCAATGGCAAAACAAACAAGTAAGTACAAGGACCCACCAGGCAACTGAATATGTGAAACCAGTGCTTGAAAAAAGATCCAGGCTCGAGAACAAGTGTTAAGGTTCACCAAAGTAATAGCTCAGAGGGGATTAAATATCTGAAGGTAATTAAGAAAGCAAGGAAGCAGAAAAGAATTCTAGAATCATGGTACAAAGGGAAGGAGCAGCACTTAGGGTCAGAAAGGCTGAATTCCAGTCGCTGTTCTGCCATTCTATATGGGCAAAACTCCTGCAGCTTCAGTTTCTTCATCTGCAAAATGAGGGTAAACTTGGTTGTTATGAGGACTAAATAACATAAATATGTGAAAGCACCTGGCACATAGTAGGGCACTCAATTAATAACTATTAAATGAAAGAATATCCTACTGATGTCACTTATGAACCATAATATTAAATAACAAGACAGATAACTATCTCACCAATGGTGAGACTGTTGAGCACAGCCAGGTTACTCAACATGAAACTAGGAAACAAAAGTATTAAAAATAACCATAATAACACTGATAATGAACTCAGTAACATAGTGTTTAATATTCATAGTGATCTTAGGTAGTAGATATTACTGTCCCTAATTACAGATGTGATCAGTGAGGCTCACAGAAATCAACACGCACAGCTATTAGATATAGACCAAGTCTGACTCCAGAGAGCAAGCTCTTAGCCATTACAGTATTATTTCTCCAAGCTATCCTAGGAGATGTGTAGGAAACAGATAAAAAGCAGAATGGCCAAGCACCTGCTCTCCAGGCCAAGTAAATTAGCCAACTTCAAAAAGGAAAGATAAAAAGCCTCAAAAGATGTAACATAACATGGTTTCGGAAACAACAGCAGAGATGTCACCTGCACACAGTAAGAACTGAGCACAGAATGATCCTGCCTAAACAAGCCCTTAGCTAAGTGGTGACAGGCTCCAAGAACAACAACTGCAACTGCTAGTCTGTTGCAACTGCAACAATGTGTGTGCGTGTGTGTGTGTGTGTGTGTGTGTGTGTGTGTCTGTGTGTACAATATAAAAAGTATACTTGGTCACCAAATGGCTCCTTTCACCCACAGAGGCATTCAGAAACAAATCCACCACCAGCTGCAGTGTTTTCAAATACAAAGGATAGTTGTGGTTCTAAGGGATGATGTTATGAAAAAACCCAGTACCAGATGGCTTATCTGCAAAGGCTTGTTCCACTGGCTATCTGTCCTGGTCCAACAGTGTACAACCAAAATAAAGCATGAGGAGTTGCTATTAGCAATGGAGACATGTATCTGGAAGGTAAACCACTGAGGCCACAACTATATCAACACTGCATCAGTAACCCTAGGGCTCATTATTTCTATAAATCTCTACAGTTAAAAAATTCAAAATATTCTGTCTTGCTTCCCCTATACTACCCTGCACCTCCCCAGCCTTCGCCACTAACATATCCCTCCACACATCCTTCCCTAACCACCATCTGCTTGGACTCCATTAAGGAATTATCTTCCACTATATAAACTCCTACCCGCACTCCAATGCCTCCCACTCTCCCAATTCTAAACCCCACTGTCCTCCACACCAGCCCTGATTCCTCCTTTCCTAGCCTGCCCACTGTGCCCAGAGAAACACCTTTTCTAACATGAATAGGTTCATCTACCTCAACTACTCCCTTAGAAAATACTCCTTTCATCTTCCTGATGTACCAAGGCCACATTACTTCCTAGATTCCCTTCCTTCCCTTTTCCCCTGATGTGCTCGCCACTGTCACTTC
This sequence comes from Homo sapiens, assembly GCF_000001405.40. Taxonomy (NCBI): domain Eukaryota; kingdom Metazoa; phylum Chordata; class Mammalia; order Primates; family Hominidae; genus Homo; species Homo sapiens. Next base: position 100,554,419 of record NC_000009.12, on the reverse strand, counting down.
CAGCCCAGCATTCCACTCTCAGCTCCCCAGCACCTTCCTCTCTTAGGAGCCTGCTAATCATCCTCTATATGACTCTCCACCAAGCTCCATGACATTCTCTGATTTCCTTCATTGATCTTAGCGCTTGGCTCACAGTCTTTCCTTTTGATGAGGCATATTTGTCAAAATCGTTTTTAAAAGGACATATCAAAAGAGCTGGACTGAAATATCTAAACAGTCACCAGTAATGGAAATGATATCACTATCTCGCTATCTCAGGTATCCCTGGCCAGCTGCAGGAGGAGAGACTAATGAGGCTCAAGGATGAGACCAAAGATGGGGTGGGGGTTGGGACAAGGTGGAGCTCAGGAACAAAGTGAGAATGTCTTCATAATAATAAAAAGGGTGGTATAGTTAGATTATAGGCTGTATGAGCATATCTTTGAATCAAAATGGTCACATTAAAATGTCATATACCACAGAGAAACTTCCTGTGCAGGTGGAAATGGTATCAATTATAAGATGTGGTATATGTGAAGTATATTCATTGGTCAAGATTTGTGCATTTCAGTGCTATAAATTACACCTTTAAAAACCATAAAATGAGAATAATGATAATCACACGGGTGGAAGTATACAGACAAAGAATGACAATGCTGACAGCTGCTGAAGGTGGGTACTGGATATATGAGGTTTATTATACTATTCTGTTTACATATCATAGATACATGTTTTCTAAATGCCACATACCCATCTCCCATACAACTCATGCTCAATCATATCCTTTATGACTTCAACATCTACAACAGAGCTTCTAACACCCCAATTTCAATATTTACCACAGGTTTTCCAACAGCCCAAGAAAAGCTCTAATTCAGCAGCTATTCTAGACATACAAATGCTCCATTTCACAAGCACTCTTCTCTAAGAGCTAAGTTTTAAAAGACATTTCTTACTGAGCACTATCTTCCAATCTTTCCAGCTTCTTGCTGGTGCTGTGTTCCTGCTTTTCATTTTGTAGCCTCCATCCCCAGATCACTGCCTTACCTACCCAATCTTGGCTGTGTGTTGCAGACGTGGATATTTACTAAGGGCCTCCTATAAATGCTGTGAGAACAAAATAAATAAATAAATAAAAGTAAATGAGGTAAAAATAAACACAATAAAAATAGAGTTACCTTTTAACCTCTATTTCCTATGAGAACATTTTTACAATTTGGGTTTCGTCTTTCATCCTTCATGGAAGAAACTTGGTCCAAGATTGTCAATGATCCCCTTGCCTTCAAATTCAAGCATAGTTTAGTCCTTGTCTTCTCATACCTTTCTGTAGTTTTTTAAGCTATTGGCCATCCTTTCCCTTGTAGCTTCTGTGTACTCTTCTTGATTTTCTTCCTCTCAGTCCTCTTTCTGCTTCATCCCAAGTTGGGCCTTCTCTCCTTTCTAAATAATAGTGCATCCAACAGAACTTTCTTCAACTCTGAAAATGTTCTATATCTGTGCTGTCCCATATGGTAGTCACTGGTCATATCTGGCTATTGAACATCTGAAATAGGGCTAGAATGCTTTTTTTTTTTTTTCCAAAACAGTGTCTTGCTTTGTCGCCCAGGCTTAAGTGTAGTGGTGCGATCTCAGTTGACTGCAGCCTCAACCTCCTAGGCTCTAGCCATTCTCCCACGTCAGCCTCCCAAGCAGCTGCGACCACATCGCGTACCACCACCACGGGTTAATTTTGTTTAGAGACAAGGTCTCACCATGTTGTCCAAGCTGATTTCATTTTAATTTAAATTTAAATAGCTACATGTGGCCAGTAGCTATTATAACAGACAATACTCTCTCTCATTCATTCTTGTGGCTTCAGTTATCACCTCTATATCCAAAGACTGACTCACAAATTTATACTGAACAAAGTGACCTGGATGAGTTCCACAAGCACCTCAAACTCTAAAATACAATCAATCATCTCCACCATCAACTCCTCCCTTACTTTATTCCAAACACCTTTACCTACCTAATATCCTTAGTTCTGTGAACAGAATTCATCATCTAAGTCATCTGAGCTTGAAGACTTAAGTCATTTTTAACTCTCTATCTCTCATATCTAAGATGTCTATTCCTTTTGACTTTACCTAACTGATATCCCTGCCTCCATTCCAATGTATACAATATGCACAATATTCCTGCCAGGTATCATTCTTTCAAATGGTTAACTTTGTAGCCTTGCTTTTTTCAAATATATTAATGATTCCCCACTGCCCACAAATAAAGTCTAAATTCCCTAGAGTAGCATAGCATTCAACACTCTACACAATCTGGCCCCAAGCTGTCTTTCTAGTCTTGCCTTCTACTTCTACCTCTTAAGCCTCCTATTCTCCAGCCCAAAGGATTCCTTACCTTTCTCCAACACATCCTGTCATAACATTGTGTGCATATCTATGCTCATGCTCTCCTATCCTCCTTAGATATCCTTCTGACTCCTGTTCGTCCTTCATGGTTCACTCAAGTTCCACTTCTTCCAAGACATTTCACAGATTCCCACTGTTCCCCACCAAAAATTAATCTCAACTTTTCTGAATTCCCATTGCACTTTTAAACTGTATACACTTATAGCAATAATCAATTTCTACTTTGTTAGAAGTTGGTTATCTGCATTTACTACATCACAAGAACTTTAAAGATGCATATATTTTAGATATCTTCCTAACTACAAACAGTAAAATGACCAGTATAAATTAGGTACATAATAAATTATTTCTACTATGATAATTTCATTTAAATTAGAGATCAATTCTTATGTGTAAAACATTTTCAGTATCTCAAAAGTGGCCTAGGCTCTAAATTATCCATTATCAATGGCACACAAGTGCTTTAGAACACACAATTCCCCAAACTGCCCTAAGTATGAGCTTCCAAATACTGAAAAATGGCCTTCCTATTCTAGTCAAGTACTATCAATATAGTGAATAAAACTGAAGCTGACCTATTTTGTCTCCTACGAGAATACAGGAAATTTTCTATTTTAAATACAGCATTTTGTTTCAACATAGGAGACATATTTCAGCAGCTCATGGGTTATAACTAACTCAGGTTTCATATGATTCAAGTAAGAGAAGTAACAAATTACTCAATGATAACAGCTACCATTTGTTGAACACTTACAAGTATATCCGATACTGTTCAAAGCACTTAACATATATTATCTCATTTAGTTTTTATGAAACTCTAGGAAACAGGTACTATTATCACTCCCATTTTACATATTGTTTAGAAATTAGGTATAAAAGATAGATCACATATCTTTTAATGGTGCAACCAAACAAATGGATAGATGATGCACTTGTAATTCAGCAATTATATAGAGGTCCTGGCCTAGAAGGCCAAAGATATAGACCTGTTTCAGTTAACCAGATACAACCTCATTGATCCTCAATCTTCCCATTGGTCCTTACCTATCAAAGAGCAGTTATAAGAATCAAACAAAATAATGGATGTGAAAACAAGCAAAAAGAGCAGTGGCCTTGAAGTCAAGGGACCTGGAATCCAGCCTCTGCTCCAACCTTTACTACATGAGACCTTGTGTAAATAAAACCTACTGCTTCTTTGAGCCACATCCACTCTTTAGACAAGCACAGAGTACCTACTTATGTACCAGATATTCGGCTAGGGTTAGGGATACAGAGTGAACATGACAGACAGGTTCTCCTCTCCTCACAGAACTCATAGCCTAGAGGAGGTTACAGATGAATAAAAAGGCAGTTATAATAGAGTGGGCTAAGTGTTCAGAGAGGGGAGTATACAGGAAAGGCATCTAATATAGACTTCAGATTCAAGGGATATTTCCCAAAATAAAATGACTTCCAAGCTAAGATTAAAAGGATAAGAAGGAATTAATCAGGAAAGGAAATAAAGAGTTTCAGGCAAAGGAACAAGGTTCAAAGACCTGGGCATCGGGCAAGTGTTAACAGGAGATTCTAGAGGAGTAAAGAGGATTTTTATAAAACATATTGAGAGATCTTTCTGTATAACTTCTTACAAGTGCATGTACATCTAAAATTATCTCAATACAGACTTTAATCAAAGAAAGCACATATGAGAGTACCTTATAAAATGAGATGAACTTCAGCTGTTTCTGTTACTATTAATACTAATAATTAACTGTGTTAGGTATATTACTATAGAGAGCAAAGTTAGAGGTGTTGTTATAATGGAAACAGAACTAATAAGGACAGCTAGTGACCGTATTTCCATAGCTGGCCAAAATTTGGAGATGCATGATTCAGTACCTTTCACATCTGGTCGATATTGTAGTCCATCATCTTTCTTTCCCAACAAACTAGTGTCATCTGTATCTGTAAGAGAAGACGGTTTTCAAATTAAAATATATACAATGGTTAAGTCATATCATGATACTCCCAATAATTCCAAATTATTCCAAGTTCTTCTTAACCTCTGCCCCCTTATCCTGCTCATGTTGTCTACCATTCTCTAAATCAATTATGTCATTTCTGTCTTAGGCCTCTAGGCATCCTAGGTATAAGTGCTCTTTGCATGATGAATAGCCAATTTCATCTATACTTCAGCTCCAATGTCGCCTCCTTTAAAAACTCTTTCCTATGCAAACTAAAACAACACCTACTCTGAGAAGAAAGGGTTAAACCTTTCTTTCTCTAAAAGACAACTGCCTCAAGATTTACCTTCTCCTACCACTGTTACCCTGGAAATATCAGATTAAGATAAATGGGGAATCTCTGCTGTGTTATGAAACACTTACTATAAAAAATGACCCCTGATTTGAGAACTGCACCTGGACTGGGAAGACTATAAATGAGCCATAACCACGTGTTTAGAAGCACAAGCTTCCCAGTACTAGTGGAGGAGGCAAACGAAAGACATAGTTAGGTTTGTGAATGAAAAATTACAGAGGGGACTAAGACAAAACTTAAGGCCCAATCACTCTAAAGGATGCATTTCAATTAAACTCTCAAACTTGACTGATATGGTTTGGTTCTGTGTCCCTGCCCAAATGCCGTGTCTAATTGTAATCCCCAACGTTGGAAAAGGGGCCTTGTGGAAGGTGACTGGATCATGGGGGGCAGATTTCCCTCTCGCTGTTCTCATAATAGTGAGTGAGTTCTCACAAGACCTAGTTGTTTACAAAAGTGCATGACACCTCCCTTTGTTCTCTCTTCCTCCTTTTCCGGCCATGTAAGATGTGCCTGCTTCCTCTTTGCCATCTACCATGATTGTGTTTCCTGAGGCCCTCAGCCATGCTTCCTGTATAGCCTGTGGAACTGTAAGCCAATTATACCTCTTTTCTTTATAAATTACCCAGTCTCAGGTAATTCTTTCTAGCAACGTGAGGATGAACTAATACACTGACCAGGTGCTCTGAACTTGAAATTCCAAAGAGTAGAGTATCATTCAAATATGCATCTTTTCCTCAGAGAACATAGTCCTTCTCTAAGCTAGTCTTCCCACTCAAGCTCTAAATGCCACCCCACTGGGGTGGGGGGACCATACTTCTTCAAGATCAAGGCTAAGTGGGACATCTACCCAGAAGGGGTCCCTGTCAGTAAATGGTGTCCTCTATCATGCCCACACTCAACTCCTACCTAAAAATTGTCTGATGAGCTTCCTGGGTATTCTTTGGTAGTTTAGACCAGAGGTACTGCAATCAATTGTGTAGTGTGTCACAAATAATTTGTTACCAATATAATGTACCAAATTTTGGCTTACAACCTTTTCCCTTTAGCTCAGATAAAAACATAATATCCCTTTAATAAGTCTAAAAAGGGAGGAAGAAGGGAACCAGTAAGCAAGAAAGATATACAATCCTAGTCCATGAGAGTGTGCCTGGTCCACATATGTGACTGAGGAAATAATCCATCTTCCCAACTCATCTGAATATTACTGGGGAAAGAAAATTGGGAACTCTGGCTTTAGAGACTGAATATTTCTAGTAGGGGTGGAAAACAAAAACTCTTTCTTATATGGTATCATGGTTTCTAAGCTATAACAAAAAGCAAGAAGGGTGAAAAGAATTTTAAGCTAAAGGCAATAATTTTTCCTTACATTCTCTAACTTCACACCAAAATCTGTATCATACATAATATGTACAGGGAAAATGATACAGATAATGGAAAAACAAAGTAAACTATTATGCTCTATAAAAAGAGGTTTAACAAATATATGGCAATAACATAGTTTTACTGAAATTAAAATAAGTTATCTAACTCTTAAATAGCTATAATCATTCCAAATTTGAGATGATATTAGAACTATAAATAATAATTATAATTCCATGTTAGGATCAGCTAGCAACCAAGAACTAACTAAATAAAAAACCAAGAAGCATGGTTTATGTCTTGAGAAGATGAAAATAATGAAAAAAAACTAAATTAGTAATAAAAAATCTGAAATATAAAGTAATAAAAAAATAAAGCTTCGAGGATTTCTCATTTTACAAATTTGAAACACTACCAAATGTACAAATAAGATTACATTTATACAATAATAAAGATGGGTCTCTGAATAAATAAAATGGATTTTACCTGTGCAATGACCAAGATGCCTTATATCAATTTGTTCTTGCTTTATACAAGATGCTTCTCGAACAAAACAGGGATTGTTATAGGAACTCCCATCAGAAGCACACACAGGATTAAAACTGTATCCACTGCAATCTATATTACATACACACCTGTTGGAAAAGACAAAAATTACCTATATTTTACAACAAAAATATTTCACAATGCTGCAACAGCAAAAAAGACCAATTCTTTCTTCTGCTTTCTGTAACAGAAGTCAATATATTGTTTTAAGTCACTGATGAAAGCTTAAGCAAAGTAAATACCTAAAAAAATTTTAGGTGAGGATTTAGAGATAATTTCATCAAGATATTATGAATCCAGTGGTTTCTCTGGAATTTTCATATCTAGATAAAGTAATCAGGAGATGTCAAATATCAATGACATTAATTAAATAGCAAAATGGCACATTGTAAAGGACACAGAATTATGAGTCAATAGTCACAAATCTAAATTCTACCCCTAGTTATTACCAGATTTGTATCCAAATTCTTCCTCTAAGTCTTAGTTTACTGATCAGTAAAATGGAGGTAATAATAATGGCCAGGCATGATGGCTCATGACTGTAATCCCAACACTTCGGGAGGCCAAGGTAGGAGAATCACTTGAGCCCAGGAGTTTGAGACCAGCCTAGGAAACAAAGCAAGACCCCATCTCTACAAAAAATAAAAAACTTAGCCAGGCACAGTGGTGTGTACCTGTGGTCTCCACTACTTGGAAGGCTGAGGCAGGAGGATCACTTAAGCCCAGGAGGTTGAGGCCGCAGTGAGCCATAATTGCACCACTGTACTCCAGCCTGGGGGACAGAGTGAGACCCTGTCTTAAATAAATAAATAACCTACCTTGCCAAATAACTGGGAAGGTTAAAAAATATAATAGACATGAAATATGTAAAATGGAAACCCTCAAAAGTGTTTTCTAGCTACATGTCTATCTGTGTAACTGAGTATCCACTGAACACTGAGTGTTGTACTACAGAGAAGGCAAAAGAAGTCCAAAGCAAGATTACTCCCCTCAAGAATAGTAAAATCTAGTTAGGAATAGAGAAACAAAAATAAAAATACAGAGACTCTCCTGTTTATAGCAACACAGAGGACTAGGAACCTTTACTAACCTTCCTGATAAAAACAACAAAAAACACTGGACAAACATTTTAAAACATTCTCTTAAATACATTCACAAGTTGGTAAGAAAGTCAGGAATATTTAGGACAGAAGTTATAAGTACACAGGCACAGAGAAAGGTCAATTGAGCTCTCTAAAGCTGATTTTCACTTTGAAGGCATTTGCCAAACTGGGTAAATTCAATTACCAATTTTTTGGCTTTGCAGGCCTGATGTGGTTTGGCTGTGTCCTTACCCAAATCTCATCTTGAATAGTAACTCCCACAATTCCCGTGTGTTGTGGGAGGAACCTGGTGGGGGGGGGATTGAATTATGGGGGAAGGTCTTTCCTGTGCTGCTCTCATGATAGTGAATGAGTGTCATGAGATCTGATGGTTTTTAAAATGGGAGTTTCTCTGCACAAGCACTCTTTTTGCCTGCTGCCATCCACGTAAGATGTGACTTGCTCCTCCTTGCCTTCCACCATGATTGTGAGGCCTCCCCAGCCACGTGGGTCTGGGGAACTGTGAGTCCAGTTAAACCTCTTTCTTTTGCCCAGTCTCGGGTATATCTTTATCAGCAGTGTGAAAACAGATTAATACAATAAACTGGTACCAGTAGAGTGGGGTGCTGCCGAAAAGATACTTGAAAATGTGGAAGTGACTTTGGAACTGGGTAATAGGCACGAGTTGGAACAGTTTGGAGGGCTCAGAAGTCAGGAAAATGTGGGAAAGTTTGGAACTTCCTAGAGACTGGTTGAATGGCTTTGACCAAAATGCTGATAGTGGCACAAACAATAAAGTCCAGGCTGAGGTGATCACAGATGGAAATGAGGAACCTGTTGGGAACTGGAGCAAAGTGACTCTTGTTATGTTTTAGCAAAGAGATTGGTGGCATTTTGCCCCTGCCCTAGAGATCTGTAGAACTTTGAACTTGAGAGAGATGATTTAGGGTACCCAGTGAAAGAAATATCTAAGCAGCAAAACATTCAAGAGGTGACTTGGGTGCTATTAAAGGCATTCAGTTTTATAAGGGAAGCAAAGCACAAAAGTTCGGAAAATTTGTAGCCTGACAATGTGATAGAAAAGAAAATCCCATTTTTTGAGAAGAAATTCAAGCTAGCTGCAGAAATTTGCATAAGTTACAAGCAGTCGAATGTTAATCCCCAAAACAATGGGGAAAATGTCTCCAGGGCATGTCAGAGGTCTTCATGGCAGCCCCTCCCATTGTAGGAGGAAAACATGGTTTCCTGGGTAGGGCCCAGGATCCCCGTGCTCTGTGCAGCCTAGGGACTTGGTGCCCTGCATCTCAGCTGCTCCAGCCATGGCTGAAAGGGACCAATGTAGAGCTTGGGCTGTGGCTTCAGAGGGTACAAGCCCCAAGCCTTGGCAGCTTCCACATGGTGTTAAGCCTGCAGGTACAGAGAAGTCAAGAAATGGGGTTTGGGAACCTCCACCTAGATTTCAGAGGATGTATGGAAATGCCTGGATGCCCAGGCAGAAGTTTGCTGCAGGGGTGGGGCCCTCATGGAGAACCTCTGCTAGGGCAGCGTGGAAGGGAAATGTGGGGTCAGAGCCGCCACACAGAGTCTCTACTGAGGCGTCGCCTAGTGGAGCTGTGAGGAGAGGGCCACCTCCAGACCCCAGAATGACAGATCTACTGACAGCTCGCACTGTGCATCTGGAAAAGCCACAGACACTCAATGCCAGCCCATGAAAGCAGCCAAGATGGAGGCTGTACCCTGCAGAGCCACCTGTACCCTGCAGAGCCACAAAGGTGCAGCTGCCCAAGACCATGGGAACCCACCTTTTGCATCGGCATGACCCAGATACAAGATGTGGAGTCAAAGGAGATCATTTTAGAACTTTAAGATTTGACTGCCCTGCATGGGGCCTATAGCCCCTTTGTTTTGGCCAATTTCTGCCACTTGGAATGGCTGTACTTACCCAATGCCTGTACTCCCTTTGTATCTAGGAAGTAACTAACTTGCTTTTGATTTTACAGGCTTATAGGCAGAAAGGACTTGCCTTGTCTCAGATGAGATGTTGGACTGTGGACTTTTGAGTTAATGCTGAAATGAGTTAAGACTTTGGGTGACTGGTGAGAAGGCATGATTGGTTTTGAAATGTGAGGACATGAGATTTGGGAGGGGCAAGCAGGGGAATGATATGGTTTGGCTGTGTCCCCACCCAAATCTCATCTTAAACTGTAACTCCCACAATTCCCACGTGTCGTGGGAGGAACCCGGTAGGAGGTGACTGAATTATGGGGGTGGGTCTTTCCTGTGCTGCTCTCATGATAGTGAATGAGTCTCACAAGATCTGATGGTTTTAAAAATAGGAGTTCCTCTGCACAAGCTCTCTCTTTGCCTGCCGCCATCCATGTAAGATGTGACTTGGTCCTCTTTGCCTTCTGCCATGATTGTGAGGCCTCCCCAGCCACATGGAACTGTGAATCCAATTAAACCCTTTCTTTTGCAAATTGCCCAGTGTCTAGTATGTCTTTATCAGCAGTGTGAAAACAGACTAACACAAGGCCTCTGGGAACAGGAGACAAATAACACTGATCCACCTAAGGTGGCCTCTGGGAACATGAGACAAAGAACACTGACCCACCTAAGGTAGGGAGTCTGGAGACCCTAAAAAAGTTATATATATATATATATATCAGCATGAAGGTAAACTGGAAATGAGCTGTCATATTCCAAAGGGACTATTTAAAAAATTAAAAAGGTTGCACTGACCCATAACTTTGAAAAACAAAAAGAAAACCAGCTCCCCTGAGAATTCAAAGCCACAAGCCAGCCCTCACACAGGGCTGTAATTAAGTTTTAATTACAACTTAAAATACTACTTGGTTGTTTTGAAAAATCTCAAACCCAGAATTAATTTTAAGGGGTCAAGGACTAGAAGAGGCTCTAGGCCAAGCTTGTCCAACCCACAGCCCAGGATGGCTTTGAATGCAGCCCAACACAAATTAATAAACTTTCTTAAAACATTATGAGATTTGTGTGTGTGTGTGTGTGTGTGTGTGTGTGTGTGTGTGTGTGTTTTACTTCATCAGCTATGTTAGTGTTAGTTTATTTTATGTGCAGCCCAAGACAATTATTCTTCTTCCAATGTGGCCCAGGGAAGTCAAATGATTGGACACACCCCTGCTGTAGGCAAATGACAGAAGCAGATGCAATCTTCTCTGGAGAAACTCAATTTCATCCTAGACCTAAATGATTTTCCACAGATACAATTCTGAGAAAAATATGCAGCTCAGCCCACAGAGACACATTCAGTCACATACCCACAACTAAGTAATAGAACACCATGAGGAGAACAAATCGATTTTTAAAAGAACCAAACAGAACTTCCAGAAATAAACAATATATTACTAGATATAAGAAATGCAATGGGCAGATTTAACAGCTGATTAGAGAAGCTAAAGGAGAATTAGTGAATTAGAAGACAGGTCAGAGGAAATTAACCAGACCACAGCAGAGAGTCTAAGACATGGTGCATATTTAAAAAAGAGACATGGGCTGGGCGCAGTGGCTCACCCTTATAATCCCAGCACTTTGGGAGGCCAAGGTGGGCGAATCACCTGAGGTCAGGAGTTCGTGACCAGCCTGACCAACATGGAGACACCCTGTCTCTACTAAAAATACAAAATTAGCCAGGCATGGTGGCACATGCCTGTAATCCCAGCTACTCAGGAGGCTGAGGCAGGAGAATCGCTTGAAGCCAGGAGGCGGAGGTTGCGCTGAGCCAAGATCACACCACTGCACTCCAGCCTAGGCAACAAGAGTGAAATGCTGTCTCAAAAAAAAAAAAAAAAAAAAAAGAGAGAGAGAGAGATGGAAGAGTCAGAAGATCTAACAAAAATCTCATTAGCATTCCAGGAGTTAAGAAAATGAGGCAGGAAAATATTCTCAGCAACTTCTCTTCAAACTTTCTAAAACTAAAAAAGATACTCATCTAAATATCCAAGAAGCCCAATGAATCCCAAACAGGATTACTAAAAATGGATCCACATACTGAAATATCATAGTGGAATTTTATAATGAGAAAAAGAATATTTTAAAAGCAGCCAGAAAGAAGAGAAAGATTACCTTCAGCGAAGTAAGAATAACAGGGAAACTGACTTTTCAAAAGCAATACTGAAGCCAAATTGTTTATAGCTAAAAGTGAAATAGTACCTGCTATGCGCTAAGGTAGAACATAATTCTATTTAAGACAAATCTTTTGAGAATAAGGGTAAAATAAAAGTAACTTGGAAGGAGTAAAAAGTTACAAAATTTGTCACCTGCTGACTGTCAGTAAAGGAAATTCTAAAGGCAATAGAAAAATGATCCTTTAAGGAAAGTCTGAGATGCAAATACGAATGAAGAACAAAGGTCTAAATACATGGGTAATATAAGAACAACAGTGCTCTGTGTGGTTAAATTTTTTTAAGCTGGAAATTAAAATACATGATGATAACAATAGCACACAAGTTTGGAGGAATTGAAATTCAAGTGTTTAAGGAGAACAGTGACATTAAGGAAATTTAGATTGTGATAAGCTGAATATGCATGTTAAAATTGCTGAGGTTACCATTACAAGAAGGAAAATCCATAACTTCAAAACTACTAGAGAAAAAAAAAATCCAAAAAAGGCAAGAAAGGAAAAAGAAAAAGGAAAAGCAAGACAAAAGTATAAAATAAGAAAAAAAATATCAGTATTCACAATATATTTAAGTTGACCACATTTTCCAATTAAATAACAAAGGTAGTTGGCTGGATAAAAATACAAAAGCCAGCTATATGTTGCTTGTAAGATACATGTTAAAATGATGACACCAAAAGTTCAAAATAATAGGAGAGTGAAAGAGATACATCACCCTGGGTATAGAAGAAACCTCGTATGGTTATATTTAATATCAGATATAAAAGATTTTAGGTCAAAAAGGATTATAGGAATTAAAGAAAATCCCTTCATAATAATAAAAATATTTTATTCAGCAGGATAATATAATTCTAAACATTTTAAGATAGTCTCAAAACCTATAAAGTGAAAACTGATATAACCACAATAAGAAATTGCCAAATCTGGCCAGGCGTGGTGGCTCATACCTGTAATCAATCTCAGCACTCTGGGAGGCTGACGCAGGCAGATCACGAGGTGAGGAGTTTGAGACCCACCTGGCCAACGTAGTGAAACCCATCTCTACTAAAAACACAAAAAATTAGTTGGGTGTAGTGGCAGGCACCTGTAATCCCAGCTACTTGGGAAGCTGAGGCAGGAGAATCACTCGAACTTGGGAGGCAGAAGTTGTGGTGAGCCAAGATAGCGCCACTGCACTCCAGCCTGGGCAACAGTGTAAGACTCCATCTCAAAAAAAAAAAAAAAAGAAAGAAAGAAAGAAAAAAAAAAAAAATGAAATTGCCAAATCCACCATGATAGGGTTTAACACACCTCTCTCAGCAACTCATATACCAAGCAGAAAAAATATCAGCAAAACTGAAATCTTAACAGGTAAGGTGACTTGATGCTGGGATTTGCTTTAAATACTTCCCAAAAAAAGGTAACAGAATTAGACTTTTGAAGATGAATAAATGGGTAGAGGTCCATCATTTTTCTCCTTTTCTGTTTGATGATTTCCTTAATTCATAATGAATTGAAGACCTAAATGTGAAAGTCAAAAACTATAAAGATTTAGGAGATCAAACGTAAGACTGAGGAATTTGAAATAAACAATGCCCCATAAAGAGAATAAGAAGACAAGTTACAAACAAAAAGATAAACATAGCCCACATAATCAACAAATAAGTAGTATCCAGAATACACAAATACAAATCAATTTTTTAAATAATATATGTGATCAATGGGAAAGGGGAGCAAAAAAATAGAAATAAAAGAGGAAACATATAAGAACAACATATGTGAAAAGATATTCAACCTCATTAAGAATCAGAAAACTTAAAATTAAAATCACAATGAGATACCATCCACACTCACGAAATTGGCAAAAGTCAAAAACAAGGACAAAACCCAAGTACTGGCAAGGATGAGAAGCTAAGGGAATTCTCATCCTCTGCTGGTAGTGAGAGGTGACAACGTGCTAGCAGCCCTCACCCGCTCTCAGCACCTCCTTGGCCTCGACATCCGCTCTGGCCCTGCTTGAGGAGCCCTTCAGTCTGCCACTGCACTGTGGGGGCCCCTCTCTGGGGCTGGCCAAGGCCGGAGCCAGCTCCCTCTGCTAGCGGGGAGGTGGGGAGGGGGAGGCACGGGTGGGCACTTGGCAAGGCCGGCTGGTGCCTGCTGGGCTTCATCAGGGAACAAGCTCCCTCTGGGCTGCCAGAGTGCCCAGGCTAGGTGCCGCAAGGTCCCGAGGCAAGTGCCATTGAGAGGTGAAGCCGGCTGGGCTTCTAGGTCGGGTGGGGACTTGGAGAACTTTTCTGTCTAGCTAAAGGATTGTAAACGCACCAATCAACACTCTGTGTCTAGCTAGAGGTTTGTAAACACACCAATCAGTGCTCTGTGTCTAGCTAATCCGGTGGGGACTTGGAGAACTTTTGTGTCTACCTAAAGATCGGGTGGGGACTTGGAGAACTTTTATGTCCAGCTAAAGGATTGTAAATGTGCCAATCAGCGCTCTGTGTCTAGCTAATGGGGTAGGTGACTTGGAGAACTTTTCTGTCTAGCTAAAGGTTTGTAAACGCACCAATCAGCACTCTGTGTCTAGCTAGAGGTTTGTAAATGCACCAATCAGCACTCTGTCTAGCTAAAGGTTTATAAACACACCCATCAGCGCTCTGTGTGTAGCTAATTGGGTAGGGGACTTGGAGACCTTTTGTGTCTAGCTAAAGGTTTGTAAATGCAGCAATCAGCACTCTGTCAAAACGGACCAATCAGTGCTATGTAAAATGGACCAATCAGCCCCCTGTAAAACGGACCAATCAGCTCTCTGTAAAATGGACCAATCTGCAGGATGTGGGTGGGGTCAGATAAGGGAATAAAAGCAGGCTGCCTAAGCCAGCAGTGGCAACCCGCTCAGGTACCCTTCCACGCTGTGGAAGCTTTGTTCTTTCACTCTTCACAATAAATCTTGCTGCTGCTCACTCTTTGGGTCCGCGCCACCTTTATGAGCTGTAACACTCACCGCGAAGGTCTGCAGCTTCACTCCTGAAGCCAGCAAGACCACAAACCCACCAGAAGGAACGAACAACTCCAGACGCGCTGCCTTTAAGAGCTGTAACACTCATCGCAAAGGTCTGCAGCTTCACTCCTGAAGACAGCAAGACTACGAACCCACCAGAAGGAAGAAACTCCAGACACAGCTGAACATCTGAAGGAACAAACTCCGGACATACCATCTTTAAGAACCGTAACACTCATCGCGAGGGTCCACAGCTTCATTCTTGAAGTTGGTGAGACCAAAAACCCACCAATTCCGGACACAGTAGGAAAGCTTACTGGGACAGCAACTTTGGAAAACAGGCATTCTGACGAAAAACTAGACTTGCACACGCCCAACAACTTCACAACAAGGCAAGGCCGTTGAAAATCTCCTACACACAGGCCAGGCTCAAAGGTTCATGCCTGTAATCCCAGCACTTTGGGAGGATGAGGCAGGCGGATCACTTGAGATCAGAAGTTCAAGACCAGCCTGGCCAACATGGCGAAACCCTGTCTCTACTAAAATACAAAAATTAGCCGGGCATGGTGGTAGGCACCTGTAATCCCAGTTACTCAGGAGGCTGTGAAGCATGAAAATCACCTAAACCTGGGAGGTGGAGGTTGCGATGAGCTGAGATTGAGCCAGTGCACTCCAGCCTGGGCGACAGAGCAAAACTCTGTCTAAAAAAAAAAAGAATATCTCCTACTCGTGTATACCAGAAAATGTGAAAGAATATTCACAGCAGTATTATTCATGAAAACAAAAGACTGGAATAATCCAAACGTCGAAAGTAAAATGGACTGTAAAAGAATGTGGTACAGGCAAACAATCAAATTCAACAAGCAGTAAAACTGAATTAACTACAGCTATGTGCATCAACATAAATGAATCTCAAAAACATAATGCTGTGCACGAGAAAATCAAGAAGAATGCATATAGCATGATTCCATTTATACAAAATACAAAAGCAATCAAAAGCCAGATTATAGATCATTAAGGGACCTATCATATGTGATAAAATATAAAGAAAGGAAGGGAATAATTTCTGCAAAATGCAGTATAGCATGTGGGTGAGAGACAGATGCAATTAGAGAGAGACATGGGAGGCCCTGAAGTACAGTCTGCCTTCCATATCCTCAGGGCCGACTGCAGGGCTTTGAGCATCCTGAGATTTTGGTATTTGAGGGGAGTATCAGAACGAATTCCCCCCAAATACTGACAGACGACTGTACTGCTAAAATTCTGTTTCTGGCCGGGCACAGAGGCTCACGCCTGTAATCCCAACACTTTGGGAGGCCGAGGCGGGTGGATCACAAGGTCAAGAGATGGAGACCATCCTGGCCAACATGGTGAAACCCCATCTCTACTAAAACTACAAAAACAAAATTAGCCGGGCGTGGTGGCAGGCACCTGTAGTCCCAGCTACTCGGGAGGCTGAGACAGGAGAATCATTTGAACCCAGGAGGCGGAGGTTGCAGTGAACTGATACTGCGCCAATGCACTCTAGCCTGGCAACATGAGAGTCTGTCTCAAAAAAAAAAAATTCTGTTTCTTGCCTTGGGAGGTAGATTCACAAAAGCTCATTTCATTTTTGCGCATTCAATCAAATGTGTATATTTTAGTTTTCATACACTTTTGAATATATTTTATAATTTAAAAATTAAGGAAACAGAAAAAAATTTTAGTTCATAAGAATATTCACTAAAGTCAAAAAATATATATTGTACCAAAAATTTAATTTCTGGAAAACAAGAGGTGAAAGAACCAAAGAAAATAAAGTTAGCCAATCACAGAAGGTGAGTTCAGGTAAAAGTTGTGGATAAGGGAGGGGCGCAGACAAATGCAGAGAACAACAATCTACTATGCGTGGGTGAAAACATGTGCACAAACATTTAGTCATAATATCTCTGTATCTAAACAAATATTGAAAGAATGCCATGCTGAAAAGGACTTTAGAAAGCCATCTATTCTGATCTTCCACTCAGTGCAGGGCTCCTCTCAGCAGTATTTGTGACCTTATTGTTACATTGCCCCTGCCAGAGCATCTGTAGCAATAGACAGCTTACTATCTCACCAAGGCAGTACATCTCATGGGTGAGTGGTTATTACCTGGGCTGAGCCCCAAACATGCATCCTAATTAATTTCCACCCATTGACTCTAACTCTGGCCTCTGAATCTACATGTAATAAGCCCAAAATATCATTTAAAGATTCAAAGATAATCATTATATTGAATATAAGTTTTCACCTGAAGTTAATTCAATGATTCATTTGTTATATCATCCTCATCACCCTCCAAATTCAGTATCTCATAATATGAGGCCAAGAACAAAACAAGGACTACAGTACAGAGAAGCTATTACCTTAACTGTTCTGGACACTATGCTTACATAAACACAGGCAGGATTGCATTAACTTTTCTGATAACCACATCAAACTTTAGACACATACTTAACTTCTTAAATATACTCAACTCTGTAGGTATGGCCTGCAAAACATGTCACCACTATTGTCTGAAACCCAGGGTTAGGACTTCACATTTATCTCTATCAAATTTTAGATTATCTATCTCAGCATGCTGAAATCTTTTAGACTCTAATTCTATCATGTAACATCTCTTCAGACTGACATATTCATAATGTTGACAAGTCATCAATAAATGCACTGACTAGAACAAAATAAACATAGCCATATGTCATATTCTAAGAAACCTACCTTAATGTTTCTAGAAAAATGAATCCATTACTGAACACCTTTTAAGAAAAGTTGTTAACCAGCTAGAATTGCAACTATCATCTGACCTGACTTCCTATGTCATGTATACCAAGCCAGATTGATGATTATCTTGCTTAGATTCATATACATTACAGTTAAGGCTCAGCCCTGGTACCACAATCTTATCACACTACCAAAAAAGAAAAAGAGGTTAGATTTAGCATGCTCTTACTAACAATCTCAGCATGTGCTCAGAAATAAAGTTAATAATCAAGAGAAGACTTAAAAGAAATGTAATCCTAAAAGGTCAGAGGCTCAAAGATCATGGCTTGCCCATTACCAAAATTAGTGACAATGCTTTTTATATTAAACAAATGTACAAAAACTTTTCCCATTACTTAAACAAAACTTGAGGTATTAAATTAATTGTGAACCTCCCTGCTCAATTTTCCAAGGAAAGGCCATATTTCTCTTCGTTTTTTTTGTTCCCAGTTCCTCTTCCTCAAGGCTCAGCATAAAGGAGAAAAAATCATGCAATAACCACTTTCATTTAAAAAATTTTTTGAGCCCTACAATATGAGGCAAGGTCTGCATAAAAACTTCCAAGACATTACCCCTAGAAATGGGCTTTCAAAGATTTAACCTATTTTTTTCTACTAAAGAACAGTATTTCAGATTCTCTCAATAGGGTCTTGATATACACATACCATTAGTTTTACTTTTGAAATAAATGACACGCTTCTAGCACTAATAAACATAGCCTGATCTATATACACACTGCTACATTTGAGAGAGCCCATGCTCGTTTCCACAGAAGATATTGTTTTTTAATATATCAAAATAAAAGAAGGTTGTTAAAATACCCTCCAAATTCCAAATTACTATATTAAATATCAAATCTAAATATATATTTGTCTTTAAAGGAGTAATATAATAAAAACAATATTTGAGAATGATTATTCTCATGGCTACAGGTAAGCTGCAGTGAAATAATGTGAAAAAGAGTAGCAGAATAGAGGGGGTCAAATCAGGCAAAGGAGAAGAGAAAATTAATTTCAAAGAGCAATCTGGTAAAGTTAACAGATTTTCTTCTTTGTGGTTGTTAGTTTAGTTTTGTTTTGTTTTTTGAGATACGGTCTCACTCTGTCGTTCAGGCTGGAGTGCAGTGGCACAATCTCAGCTCACTGCAACCTCCGCCTCCCAGGTCCAAGCCTGCCTCAGCCTCCCAAGTAGCTAAGATTACAGGCACATGCCATCATGCCTGGCTAATTTTTATATTTTTGGTAGAGGCAGGGTTTGGCCATGTTGGCCAGGCTGGTCTCCAACTCCTGACCCCAAGTGATTCCCCCACCTCGGCCTCCCAAAGTGCTGGGATTACAGGTGTGAGCCACCACATTCAGCCCCGTTAGATTTTCTGGTACATTCCTATTAGTAAAGGAAAATGAGAGAAAGGTAATAAAAGGGATGATTCAAAAAAGGGAAGTGCTTCTTTCCTTTCAATATGCCCCCAAGGAATGGGAAACATTTTTAAATGATATGAATTAAGTAATTAAGGAAAGGGATAAAACAAAGCGTTCACTAAGCATAACAGATTTCTTGATTCATGGAGAACACAGGTAGAAAACACAAAGGTGAAGAAAATGAAGAAGTAATGAAAAATAAAAGGAATTAAGAAACAACAAGGGGGAAAAAAGTACAGCTCAACCTGGAATAAAGGCACTATTTGCTGTCATTTTACCATATATTAAAAATATATATATAGATGGATGGTTTAAAGTAGGGATCAATCCTGGCAATTACAGAAGTGGGTCAATCCAGACCAATGTCTGTTTTTGCACACCCAGAAGCTAAAAATGGTTTTCACATTTCTAAAAGGTTAGGTATGGTGAAGACCACATGTGGCCTGCTAAGCCTGATATATTTACCATCTAGCCCTTTACAAAAAAATTTTGCCCACCCTGACCTAAAGGATAAAAGTGGGCAAAACTGGGATGGCAGTTAAATAGAAATGGTGGTTAACGGAAGAAAATGACAGCAACATAGCAAAATACCATACCAGTCCAATAAGAAACAAGTAATCACTTGTTTAACAAGTGGCTTTGTTTATAGTGGGTATTGCAGCCCAACCAGGAAATGCCTTGATCAAATGTATGAAAAAGACAGTGCTCCTTAGTGGGATGGTACCACTGCATCTAAGACTAACAACAGTGAAAACAATCACTACTGTTTTCAATGGCATACAAAGAAAGAAGATTAAATTACCATTTCAAGTAAAGTCCAGCTCAGTGAAACAATGAGCGAAGGAGGAAAATATGAGACTCCAGAGGCCACGGATACTACTGATTATAGTGATTACAGCTGTTTGCAGACTGCCAAGCGTAGCAGAGGTCAGGATGCCCAAAGCACAGAAGCGTGCACTCAAATGAATAGAAATCACTCTTTAATAAATATGCTGAATTTGAAACATTTAACTACATTTACTCTGCACCTACTGTGTGGGTATAGTCACATTTGCCTCATCTAACCCTGACAATTCTAAATTATCAATACAGAAACTGAATATGAAGGAAATCTAAAAGCCCCCAATCAAAAAAACCAGTGAGGGGCTGAGACCAGTGTTTTCTCTATTCATTACAGCTGTTATACCAAATAAATATCTGAGCATGGAAAGTACCACATGAAAAGGCATTTTTCATGTTTATCATAAAATTTTTCATGAAACTCTACCACATCCACTTCTAACACTCCCACTTTTCTTTCTAACACACTAGGGACACTCCTGCCTCAGGCTTTCCCTCTTCCTGAAACACTTCCCCACACAGCCTCCTGGTTCCATCCCTCACCTCAAAGTTTTTGCTCAAAAGAATAGATAAAGGCCGGGAGTGGTGGCTCACGCCTGTAATCCCAGCACTTTAGAAGGTCGAGGTGGGTGGATCATGAGGTCAGGAGATCAAGACCATCCTGGCCAACATGGTGAAACTTCATCTCTACTAAAAATACAAACATTAGCTGGGCATGGTGGTGCACGCCTGTAATCCCAGCTACTCGGGAGGCTGAGGCAGGAGAATCGCTTCAACCCAGGAGGCGGAGGTTGCAGTGAAACAAGATCGCACCATTGCACTCCAGCCTGGCGACTGAGCGAGACTCTGTCTCAAAAAATAAATAAATAAAATAAAAAGACAAAAAATAAAATTAAGCATCCATTTAAAAAGTTAGAAAATGAACAACAGAAAAAAAAGCCAATAAAAACAAAAAGAAGGAAAATATATAACAACAGAAATTTAAAAGTTACAACAGAGGTTAGTAAAACCAAAAGTTGGTTCTTTGAAAAGACTTTCAAATTGATAACGCAAGCTTTTCTGCAGGCTTTTTCCTGAGAGAGAAAAAGATAAAAAGCAGTATCAGTAATGAAACAGACTAAAACTTCAACAGGGATTATGATTTAAAAGATAATAAAAGGTTATTGTAAACAACATTATGCCAGCAAGTTTGAAACTCTAGGTGAAATGAGCAACTTTTTAAAAATTCTATCAAGTTCTAAAAAAAAAGGCAATAGAACCTTAAGGGTACACTAATCATTAAAGAAACTAAATCAGTTGTTCTTAAAAAGTCCCTTAAAGATAGCATCGGATCCAGGCATTTTTTTTTTATTATTATACTTTAAGTTCTACGGTACATGTGCACATTGTGCAGGTTAGTTGCATATGTATACATGTGCCATGCTGGTGCGCTGCACCCACTAAATCGTCATCTAGCATTAGGTATATCTCCCAATGCTATCCCTCCCCCCTCCCCCCACCCCACAATAGTCCCCAGAGTGTGATATTCCCCTTCCTGTGTCCATGTGATCTCATTGTTCAATTCCCACCTATGAGTGAGAATATGCAGTGTTTTGTTTTTTGTTCTTGCGATAGTTTACTGACAATGATGATTTCCAATTTCATCCATGTCCCTACAAAGGACATGAACTCATCATTTTTTATGGCTGCATAGTATTCCATGGTGTATATATGCCATATTTTCTTAATCCAGTCTATCATTGTTGGACATTTGGGTTGGTTCCAAGTCTTTGCGATTGTGAATAATGACGCAATAAACATACGTGTGCATGTGTCTTTATAGCAGCATGATTTATAGTCCTTTGGGTATATACCCAGTAATGGGATGGCTGGGTCAAATGGTATTTCCAGTTCTAGATCCCTGAGGAATCGCCACACTGACTTCCACAATGGTTGAACTAGTTTACAGTCCCACCAACAGTGTAAAAGTGTTCCTATTTCTCCACATCCTCTCCAGCACCTGTTGTTTCCTGACTTTTTAATGATCGCCATTCTAACTAGTGTGAGATGGTATCTCATTGTGGTTTTGATTTGCATTTCTCTGATGGCCAGTGATGATGAGCATTTTTTCATGTGTTTTTTGGCTGCATAAATGTCTTCTTTTGAGAAATGTCTGTTCATGTCCTTTGCCCACTTTTTGATGGGGTTGTTTTTTTCTTGTAAATTTGTTGGAGTTCATTGTAGATTCTGGATATTAGCCCTTTGTCAGATGAGTAGGTTGCAAAAATTTTCTCCCATTTTGTAGGTTGCCTGTTCACTCTGATAGTAGTTTCTTTTGCTGTGCAGAGGCTCTTTAGTTTAATTAGATCCCATTTGTCAATTTTGGCTTTTGTTGCCATTGCTTTTGGTGTTTTAGACATGAAGTCCTTGCCCATGCCTATGTCCTGAATGGTAATGCCTAGGTTTTCTTCTAGGGTTTTTACGGTTTTAGGTCTAACGTTTAAGTCTTTAATCCACCTTGAATTGATTTTTGTATAAGGTGTAAGGAAGGGATCCAGTTTCAGCTTTCTACATATGGCTAGCCAGTTTTCCCAGCACCATTTATTAAATAGGGAATCCTTTCCCCATTGCTTGTTTTTCTCAGGTTTGTCAAAGATCAGATAGTTGTAGATATGCGGCGTTATTTCTGAGGGCTCTGTTCTGTTCCATTGATCTATATCTCTGTTTTGGTACCAGTACCATGCTGTTTTGGTTACTGTAGCCTTGTAGTATAGTTTGAAGTCAGGTAGTGTGATGCCTCCACCAGCTTTGTTCTTTTGGCTTAGGATTGACTTGGCAATGCGGGCTCTTTTTCGGTTCCATATGAATTTTAAAGTAGTTTTTTCCAATTCTGTGAAGAAAGGCATTGGTAGCTTGATGGGGATGGCATTGAATCTGTAAATTACCTTGGGCAGTATGGCCATTTTCACGATATTGATTCTTCCTACCCATGAGCATGGAATGTTCTTCCATTTGTTTGTATCCTCTTTTATTTTATTGAGCAGTGGTTTGTAGTTCTCCTTGAAGAGGTCCTTCACATCCCTTGTAAGTTGGATTCCTAGGTATTTTATTCTCTTTGAAGCAATTGTGAATGGGAGCTCACTCATGATTTGGCTCTCTGTTTGTCTGTTGTTGGTGTATAAGAATGCTTGTGATTTTTGTACACTGATTTTGTATCCTGAGACTTTGCTGAAGTTGTTTATCAGCTTAAGGAGATTTTGGGCTGAGACAGTCGGGTTTTCTAGATATACAATCATGTCGTCTGCAAACAGGGACAATTTGACTTCCTCTTTTCCTAATTGAATACCCTTTATTTTCTTCTCCTGCCTAATTGCCCTGGCCAGAACTTCCAACACTATGTTGAATAGGAGTGGTGAGAGAGGGCATCCCTGTCTTGTGCCCGTTTTCAAAGGGAATGCTTCCAGTTTTTGCTCATTCAGTATGATATTGGCTGTGGGTTTGTCATAGATAGCTCTTATTATTTTGAAATATGTCCCATCAATACCTAATTTATTGAGAGTTTTTAGCATGAAGGGTTGTTGAATTTTGTCAAAGGCTTTTTCTGCATCTATTGAGATAATCATGTGGTTTTTGTCTTTGGCTCTGTTTATATGCTGGATTACATTTATTGATTTGCGTATATTGAACCAGCCTTGCATGCCAGGGATGAAGCCCACTTGACCATGGTGGATAAGCTTTTTGATGTGCTGCTGGATTCGTTTTGCCAGTATTTTATTGAGGATTTTTGCATCAATGTTCATCAAGGATATTGGTCTAAAATTCTCTTTTTTGGTTGTGTCTCTGCCCGGCTTTGGTATCAGAATGATGCTGGCCTCATAAAAAGAGTTAGGAAGGGTTCCCTCTTTTTCTATTGATTGGAATAGTTTCAGAAGGAATGGTACCAGTTCCTCCTTGTACCTCTGGTAGAATTCGGCTGTGAATCCATCTGGTCCTGGACTCTTTTTGGTTGGTAAACTATTGATTATTGCCACAATTTCAGATCCTGTTATTGGTCTATTCAGAGATTCAACTTCTTCCTGATTTAGTCTTGGGAGGGTGTATGTGTCGAGGAATTTATCCATTTCTTCTAGATTTTCTAGTTTATTTGCGTAGAGGTGTTTGTAGTATTCTCTGATGGTAGTTTATATTTCTGTGGGATCGGTGGTGATATCCCCTTTATCATTTTTTATTGCGTCTATTTGATTCTTCTCTCTTTTTTTCTTTGTTAGTCTTGCTAGCAGTCTATCAATTTTGTTGATCCTTTCAAAAAACCAGCTCCTGGATTCATTAATTTTTTGAAGGGTTTTTTGTGTCCTTCAGTTCTGCTCTGATTTTAGTTATTTCTTGCCTTCTGCTAGCTTTTGAATGTGTTTGCTCTTGCTTTTCTAGTTCTTTTAATTGTGATGTTAGGGTGTCAATTTTGGATCTTTCCTGCTTTCTCTTGTGGGCATTTAGTGCTATAAATTTCCCTCTACACACTGCTTTGAATGCGTCCCAGAGATTCTGGTATGTTGTGCCTTTGTTCTCGTTGGTTTCAAAGAACATCTTTATTTCTGCCTTCATTTCGTTATGTACCCAGTAGTCATTCAGGAGCAGGTTGTTCAGTTTCCATGTAGTTGATCGGTTTTGAGTGAGATTCTTAATCCTGAGTTCTAGTTTGATTGCACTGCGGTCTGAGAGATAATTTGTTATAATTTCTGTTCTTTTACATTTGCTGAGGAGAGCTTTACTTCCAACTATGTGGTCAATTTTGGAATAGGTGTGGTGTGGGGCTGAAAAAAATGTATATTCTGTTGATTTGGGATGGAGAGTTCTGTAGATGTCTATTAGGTCCGCTTGGTGCAGAGCTGAGTTCAATTCCTGGGTATCCTTGTTGACTTTCTGTCTCGTTGATCTGTCTACTGTTGACAGTGGGGTGTTAAAAGTCTCCCATTATTAATGTGTGGGAGTCTAAGTCTCTCTGTAGGTCACTCAGGACTTGCTTTATGAATCTGGGTGCTCCTGTATTGGGTGCATATATATTTAGGATAGTTAGCTCTTCTTGTTGAATTGATCCCTTTACCATTATGTAATGGCCTTCTTTGTCTCTTTTGATCTTTGTTGGTTTAAAGTCTGTTTTATCAGAGACTAGGATTGCAACCCCTGCCTTTTTTTGTTTTCCATTTGCTTGGTAGATCTTCCTCCATCCTTTTATTTTGAGCCTATGTGTGTCTCTGCACATGAGATGGGTTTCCTGAATACAGCACACTGATGAGTCTTGACTCTTTATCCAATTTGCCAGTCTGTGTCTTTTAATTGGAGCATTTAGTCCATTTACATTTAAAGTTAATATTGTTATGTGTGAATTTGATCCTGTCATGATGATGTTAGCTGGTTATTTTGCTCGTTAGTTGATGCAGTTTCTTCCTAGTCTTGATGGTCTTTACATTTTGGCATGATTTTGCAGCGGCTGGTACCGGTTGTTCCTTTCCATGTTTAGCGCTTCCTTCAGGAGCTCTTTTAGGGCAGGCCTGGTGGTGACAAAATCTCTCAGCATTTGCTTGTCTGCAAAGTATTTTATTTCTCCTTCACTTATGAAGCTTAGTTTGGCTGGATATGAAATTCTGGGTTGAAAATTCTTTTCTTTAAGAATGTTGAATATTGGCCCCCACTCTCTTCTGGCTTGTAGGGTTTCTGCCGAGAGATCTGCTGTTAGTCTGATGGGCTTCCCTTTGTGGGTAACCCGACCTTTCTCTCTGGCTGCCCTTAACATTTTTTCCTTCATTTCAACTTTGGTGAATCTGACAATTATGTGTCTTGGAGTTGCTCTTCTCGAGGAGTATCTTTGTGGCGTTCTCTGTATTTCCTGAATCTGAACGTTGGCCTGCCTTGCTAGATTGGGGAAGTTCTCCTGGATAATATCCTGCAGAGTGTTTTCCAACTTGGTTCCATTCTCCCCATCACTTTCAGGTACACCAATCAGACGTAGATTTGGTCTTTTCACATAGTCCCATATTTCTTGCAGGCTTTGCTCATTTCTTTTTATTCTTTTTTCTCTAAACTTCCCTTCTCGCTTCATTTCATTCATTTCATCTTCCATCGCTGATACCCTTTCTTCCAGTTGATCGCATCGGCTCCTGAGGCTTCTGCATTCTTCACGTAGTTCTCGAGCCTTGATTTTCAGCCCCATCAGCTCCTTTAAGCACTTCTCTGTATTGGTTATTCTAGTTATACATTCTTCTAAATTTTTTTCAAAGTTTTCAACTTGTTTGCCTTTGGTTTGAATGTCCTCCCGTAGCTCAGAGTAATTTGATCGTCTGAAGCCTTCTTCTCTCAGCTCGTCAAAGTCATTCTCCATCCAGCTTTGTTCCGTTGCTGGTGAGGAACTGTGTTCCTTTGGAGGAGGAGAGGCGCTCTGCTTTTTAGAGTTTCCAGTTTTTCTGTTCTGTTTTTTCCCCATCTTTGTGGTTTTATCTACTTTTGGTCTTTGATGATGGTGATGTACAGATGGGTTTTTGGTGTGGATGTCCTTTCTGTTTGTTAGTTTTCCTTCTAACAGACAGGACGCTCAGCTGCAGGTCTGTTGGAATACCCTGCCGTGTGAGGTGTCAGTGTGCCCCTGCTTGGGGGTACCTCCCAGTTAGGCTGCTCGGGGGTCAGGTGTCAGGGAGCCACTTGAGGAGGCAGTCTGCCTGTTCTCAGATCTCCAGCTGCGTGCTGGGAGAACCACTGCTCTCGTCAAAGCTGTCAGACGGGGACATTTAAGTCTGCAGAGGTTACTGCTGTCTTTTTGTTTGTCTGTGCCCTGCCCCCAGAGGTGGAGCCTACAGAGGCAGGCAGGCCTCCTTGAGCTGTGGTGGGCTCCACCCAGTTCGAGCTTCCCGGCTGCTTTGTTTACGTAAGCAAGCCTGGGCAATGGCGGGTGCCCCTCCCCCAGCCTCGCTGCCGCCTTGCAGTTTGATCTCAGACTGCTGTGCTAGCCATCAGCGAGACTATATGGGTGTAGGACCCCCCGAGCCAGGTGCGGG
Source organism: Homo sapiens (assembly GCF_000001405.40). Taxonomy (NCBI): domain Eukaryota; kingdom Metazoa; phylum Chordata; class Mammalia; order Primates; family Hominidae; genus Homo; species Homo sapiens. The sequence goes on along the minus strand of NC_000009.12, from coordinate 100,527,565 downwards.
ATATAATCTCGTGGTGTGCCGTTTTTTAAGCCCGTCGGAAAAGCGCAGTATTCGGGTGGGAGTGACCCGATTTTCCAGGTGCCGTCTGTCACCCCTTTCTTTGACTCGGAAAGGGAAATCCCTCACCCCTTGCACTTCCCGAGTGAGGCAATGCCTCGCCCTGCTTCGGCTCACGCACTGTGCGCGCACCCACTGACCTGTGCCCACTGTCTGGCACTCCCTAGTGAGATGAACCTGGTACCTCAGATGGAAATGCAGAAATCACCGTGTTCTGCGTGGCTCACGCTGGGAGCTGTAGACCGGAGCTGTTCCTATTCGGCCATCTTGGCTCCTCCCCTCCGGATCCAGGCATTTTTTAAAAAGACAATTCATGAACACATCCATTCCAATCTTTCAAAGTAGGTAGTTTTGTTTTTTTTTTTTAAGACAGAGTTTCACTCTGTCGCCCAGGCTGGAGTGCAGTGGCGCGATTTTGGCTCACTGCAACCTCCGCCTCTCGGGTTTGAGAGATTCTTGTGTCTCAGCCTCCAGAGTAGCTGGAATTACAGTTATGTGCCACCACGCCCGGCTAATTTTTTTTTCCCTTTTTTTTTTTTTTTTTTTTTTTTTTGTATTTTTAGCAGAGACAGGGTTTCACCATGTTGCCCAGGCTGGTCTTGAACTCCTGATCTCAGGTGATCTGCCCACCTCGGTCTCCCAAAGCATTGACAGGCATGTGCACCATGCCCGGCCAAAAGTAGATAATTTCACTCTTACACAAAGTCATCCAGAGACTAGAAAAAAACACTCCCTAACTCATTTTAAAAGGCCACATAACATTAAAAACTAAACAAAAGAACAATTATAACTCATTGACTACAAATGAATAAAAGAAAAATCCATGAGTCCTGAATGATTGATAGAAAAGAAAATCTCACTCTTTCAATAGATAGAATACCAACTAATAACGTATATGTACCAAAACAGACTGCAATCTTTATAAAAGTAAAGTGCTCTAAAAATGAGTACTCTGAAAACAAAAATGAGCTCCTGGAAATTAAAAATTGCAGCAGAAATGAAAAACTCATAAAGTTGAAGAAATTTCTCAAAAAGTACAGCAAAAAAAACTTAAAACAGAAAACAGGGGAAAAAAAGATAAAATGAGACTAGACCAGGATGTCAACATTCACGTAACAGGAGTACCAAAAATAGAAAAAAGAGGAAGGGAAATCATCAAATAACTAAAGAAAATTTTTCAAAATGGAAGTCAGTAAGTATCTAGGAAAGGGCATAACATTGTGAGATATCACTACACTGGAGACCAAAAGAAGACTCTACATGCTTCAAGAGAGAAAAAAAATCATATACAAAAGATCAAGAATTAGAATGGCTTTAGACTTCAACAGCAACACTGGAAGCTAGAAGACAACAAAGCAACACTTTCTTAATTCTCAGGGAAATTTGTCTCACAGCTCGAATTATGCACTTGCAAAGTTCTGAATAAAATATTAGGTGTGGAATAAAAATACCTAAACACTTCAAACAAGGTCTCAAACGTTTTTAAAATCTCACACCTTTTCATAAGAAGCTGCTAAAAGAAGTAATAAAATAGGAGAGTAAAACCAAGAAGTTAGAAGCAAAAATAGAAGAAATACAGTACCCTATATAGGAGAGAGAGACAAAGGAATTTCTAGGAAGATCCTAGTGGTATAATAATAAGTATTCATGGTCTTTGTTCCCAGTTCCTGGTATAGAGTTCCCTTGACATATCTTGAGTGATAGGAGAGTTCTTATATTCTAGTGAGATGACTCATGGGGTGAGGGGGCAGGGAGTTAATGTCACCAGAAAAACCAACCACAGTGATTAGAGGGTTAGAACTTCTGCCTCCCAGCCCCACCCCAATTCTTCTACCTCTGGGAAGGGGACAGGGGTTGGATGTTAAGTTCAATCACCAATGACCAATGAGTTAACCAGTCACGATTACATAATAAAACTTCAGTTTAAAAACTCAGAATACGGGGGGTTCGGGAGCTTCCGGTGAGGGAGCACATCTCGGTGGTGCACTTGACTCCATGGGGACAGACGCTCCTGCACTCAGGACCCTTCTGGACCTTGCTTTATGTACTTCTTCATCTGGCTGATCATTTGTATCCTTTACAAATAATAAGTATAGTGCTTTCCCAAGTTCTGTGTTTTAGCAAATTAGCTAGGGCATGGGAACTCCAAAATTTATGGTCATCTGGGCAGAAGTGGGGGTAGCCTGGGGACCTCATTTGCAGCTGGTTATAAAGCGGGGGCAGTCTTATGGGACTGAGTCCTTAACCGTGGGTCTGCGCTAACTCCAAGTAGTTACTGTCAGAATTTAATTGAATTGTTGGACATCTAGGTAGTGTCAGAGAGTTGGAAAATCGATTGTTGTTGGAAAAGACACCACACTGAAGGGAGATCCTGGGATGACAGCTATATACAAGGTGTAGAGGGCAATCAGTCCACAATGAAATAGTTTAACTCTATAGACAGCTGTGTGGATGGCCATCATTACTAAGATGCCTAGTGCTACCGTACCCAACTTTCAGTCAGAAGATAGACTGCCCAGGTAAGCCTGGCCCAGATTCTTATCTGCAGTTGGCTTGGCTTGACCATAAGATAATGAAGTTCCTCATCACACACCGGGGCCTGCCAGGGGTGGGGGTCTGGGGGAGGGATAGCATTAGGAGAAATACCTAATGTAAATGACAAGTTGATGGGTGCAGCAAACCATCATGGCACATGCACTATGTAACAAATCTGCACGTTGTGCACATGTGCCCCAGAACTTAAAGTATAATAAAAAAAAATAAATGAAGATAATGAAGTTCCTGCTCTCCCCTCCATGTCCTGCTGCAAGAACAACTCAACCCACTCAGTTAATTGACATACTCCTGACAGCTGAAGATGAGCTATGGGGAGATTATAAGTAAACAACACAGAGCAGAGCAGTCCATTCTGATCACATTTCTACCAGTGATCCAGACATTAGAATCCTATCAGATGCCTCAACTATAGTGAGCCTACGTTCTCCATGACCCTGTGACTCCAATACTCATGGCTTTGTCCACTGACTTCCCCAAAAGGGAACCTTGTAAACTCTCTGAGGAGCTGAAAACCAGACCCTGCCACAGAGGCTGTTCAAAGTGTCTTCCGTAAGCCTTCCTCTCTAAGTGGGCACTATTGCCCTTTCCTTCCATGGCTAGGTTAACACAAGGTACTGGAAATAATAGCAGTATTCTATTTTGTACCCTAGGTGTTAGGTACATAGGTAGTTTTTAACAGGTATTCCTTAAATTGCACATGTATGTTTAAACACTTTTGTATACAGTATACATTTTACAATAAAGATTTTAAATAAGGTACAGAACTACGGGTATAGTGTGATGCCATTAGTTTTTTTTTTTTAAATAAAAGAATATATGTACATATCTGCTTGCACATACATAAAATACCCCAGGAGATTAAACAAGAAACAGATCACAGTGACTGTCTCTAGTGAAGGCAACTGAGTGACTGGGAACAGGGGTGGAAGTGAGACCTTTCACTCTAGAGCCTTTTTAAGCTTTTGAATTGGCAGCACTAAATTTCGAAGGCATGAATGCATATATACATACATAAATGAATGCATAAATTCAATACCTTCTATGATTTAGCACTATAATTTTGGCAAATCACAACTCCAAGTCTTTAAAACAGGGATAATACCTCAAAACACTGCTGACAGGATCAAATAAGATTTTGTAAAAAGTCCTTTGAAATCTATCAAATACTGTGCACATCTGAATGGTATTATTACTGAAAAACATCCACACTTTTGCTTCCTTTTTTCTTAACCCTATATAGAAAGTACCATTTCTTCTCAATATAGTAAGTTTATTTAGCAGTTAGGAAAACATTGGCTTAAACTAATTCATGTCAAGTTACTGAGATTTAACAAACACCTAATAAAGCCTGCAACAAATTCAACGCTAGTCTTTTTCACACATATTAAATCCTTACAACCACCCTGTAAGCAGCTCTAAGTGAATAATAAAGGCCTAGTGTCGATTGCCACTAATTCAACAAAGGCCTATAAAAGGGTCCATCCTAAGATACCCAACCTTATAGGCAGTTTACCCAAGACAAAAATCAGCAAGACAAAGTCCCTGCCCTCAGGAAGCTCACAGTCTACTTAGTGCTATGCAGAGGTTGCTTTTTCAAGACCAAGGAGGGACACAGAATATGGTCACATAGGAACTGTGGGAGAACGCAAGGTAGGCTTATAAGAAGAGGTGGTGAATCTGACCTAAGTCACACGGCATCTAAGGCTAGAAGGAGGAATAGGAGTTAAAATAAGCTGATAAACAGGAATGGGACTCCAGGCACAGGGAATAACAGGGGCAAAGTGGGTAAGAAAGTGTTCAATAATAACAGTGCATTCAGAAAATTGCAAGAGATTATGGGGAGACGGAGTTTTGCATTTTAAAGGCAAAACTCTCTTACTGGCAACTGTCAAAGGACTTTAAGAAGGTATTTCTGGGCTGGGCGTGGTAGCCCACGCCTGCAATCCCAGCACTTTGGGAAGCTGAGGCGGGCGAATCACTAAGTCAGGAGATCAAGACCATCCTGGTTAACACGGTGAAACCCCATCCCTACTAAAAAAAAATACAAAAAATTAGCTGGGTGTGGTGGCGGGCACCTGTGGTCCCAGCTATTCGAGAGGCTGAGGCAGGAGAATGGCGTGAACCCCAGAGGCGGAGCTTGCAGTGAGCCGAGATCATGCCACTGCACTCCAGCCTGGGCGACAGAGCAAGACTTGGTCTCAAAAAGATATTTCTGGAAGGCCAGGTGCAGTGGCTCAGGCCTGTAATCCCAGCACTTTGGGAGGCCGAGGCAGGTGGATCACGAGATCAGGAGTTCAAGACCAGCCTGGCCAAGATGGTGAAACCCCATCTCTACTAAAAATACAAAAATTAGCCAGGCGTGGTGGCAGGTACCTGTAATCCCAGCTCCTTGGGAGGCTGAGGCAGAGAACTGCTTGAACCCGGGAGGCGGAAGTTGCAGTGAGCCAAGATTGTGCCACTCCACTCCGGCCTGGGCGACAGAGCAAAACTCCGTCTCAAAAAAAAAAAAAAAAAAAAAAAAAGAAGATATTTCTGGATAAAGGAACCTGTCATTACTAACATCCAGATTATACTTTGGATAAAATAATGCTTAATAATGTTTGTGTTTTAAAAAACAACACAAAATTATTTTTCCATTATAATCTAAGGGGCTACAGTAGGGACTTACTAAACCTAAAAATAGTTTTAAAATATCCAGAATAAGGCAGTGCTAAATGACAAAAATTACTGCCATCTCTGATTAGGAGGAAATAAAAACAGAAGGATAGAAAAGGTACTTCTTCAGTTCTTGTTTTAAAAAGTACATGAAGCTTCCAGAAAGGAGGATATATTGCAGGACACAAATGTGTAGCATTACTCTGTTTACACAAGAGAAAAGATATCACTGCACCTTCTGAGGGAGAGACTCGTCATATTGTAGTACTGACCAGAAATCTGCATCAAAACAGAAAATGGTACCACAAATGACTAAGATGTCCAGCAGGTGGATTAAACTGGTTATCCATGTTGTCTGCCATACCCTGCACCTGTATGATTCTCTGAGCAACTCTGAGATATTTATATCACTCAGGGGGATAAATGGAAACAGCATCTCTAAAAAGGAGACTGACATAAAAAAGGCAGAAGAGCAGGGGCTATTTCCATAAAGTGCATTGCAGACAAAGTTCAAAAGGAATAACTGGAGGATTTTTATAACTCACCTGTATTGGCATTAGGCCTGATGATTCTACAGACTCCTCACACCATTCCTGGGCAGGGATTTAGGTCGGGTATATAAAAGGTACTGAAGTGAAGGAGTCCTATGATTATGTGTCCCCACTATCCAGAGAAGCAGCTGATGGCTATCTTACAACAATAACTTCGGCCTTGGACAGATTAGAAATACTGTTTAGAAAGTGAGGGGGTGTGGTACTAAGAATATGTGGTTTAAGAAATACAAGTTGCTGTAAAGGAAGGCTGTTTTCAAGTTTTAAGACCCAGTAGGAAGTCTATGCACTGTTTCACAGTGGTCACAGTGAAATACTGAAACCCACTTATGTGGGGAGTCATATTTCTTGGAGCCTCAACCACCTACACCTCTAGGTATAAATTTGAAAGGTAAGCATTAACGAACATAACTGTCACAAACCCAAGCAAAGCCCACGATGCCATCAAAGAAATGCAGTGAGTTTCAGGAAGGAAGGGTGAGGGGGAAGCCTCTTAGAAGCAAAAATAATTTAAATTATAAATGAATTACAATAGCCATTGAGCAGACAAGACAGATAAAACACATACAATGAATAAAGTTCACGCACTTCACTCAGAAGAACCTATACACTCTTATTTTACATTTAGAACTTATTCTTACTTTAGATACAGTTTCTGCGAGTGTTTGTTTCCTATTCCAGGGAAGCAGAGAAGCAAATTAAAAATTGAGGGCATCTACAGTCAAACTCATTGCCAAGGCACACTGACAGCATCTAGAAGCAGCAGCTAACAGCCTTACAAGAGAGAAGAAAACATTTTTAAAAAACAGATATAGAACCCAAAACACAAAGCTAAATGAAGCCTTAAGTGCAGCAGTGAAACAACCACACATCATGGGCCTCTACATGTGCATGCACAACACAATAGACTGATTCCTTGTCATGAGACCTATGTTCTGGTTCTCCATTCAGCCTTTCTGAACTCACCTTCACCTATAAAAATCAGGATAATACTTCCTTGCTCTACTACCAAACAGAACTGCTCAGAATAGCTTAAAAATATATTATGTGTAAAAAATGCTCTGAAAACTGTAATATACTACATATGTAATTGTAAGAGTATGTTAAACATGTTCTGTATATTCTGTTTAAGAAGGCAAAGAAGTATGTAATGTATTTAAATCAATTTCTATTTAAATGGCTAAATTTAAAAAAAGCACTTCTCTTAATAGCAGAAAATTAACTTACACGGTATCACTTATCCCCTCACCAAAATGCCAGATTTTTTTAACAACCATTAGCAAGAGAAAGAATTTTTAAAAGCAAGAGAAAGATTTTAGCTGCTCTTTGCAAATCAGATAGGTTGGATAACATTTTTTCTGACAGGAAAGACATTTCAAATTGAGAAAAGACAAAGTACATTTGATTTTCTGGGTTGTTTGTTCATTTGTTTTTGGAGACAGGGTCTTGCTGTGTCACCCAGGCTGGAGCACAGTGGCGCAATCATGGCTCACTGCAGCCTAGATCTCCCAGGCTCAAGCAATCCTCCTGCCTTGGCCTTCTAAAGGTTCTGAGATTACAGATGTAAGCCACCACAGCTGGCATACAATAAAATTTTAAATGAATACTTACACCTAAAAAAATACATGCAGTACACATCTATTATAGTTTACTATAGAGCAATACTTTTCAAACTGTAGGTCATAATCACTAGTGGATTATGAAGTCAATTTAGTGGTTCACTGCCAGTATTTTATAAGAAAGTAGGATAGAAAATATTAGAGTACATTGCATTTAATAAAGGTAAGTACTATTCCACAGAATTTTGTTTGACTTAATATTTATTAGTACCATGTGTATATAAACAGGAGTGCTGGATAACAATGCAAATGTATTTTTTACATGAAGTGTAGTCAAAAAAGACTGAAAGTCACTGGTAAGAAATTCAATAAATAGGCATTTGATTTCTAGATGCCAGCTAAGAACTAACAGAATTTAAAAGCAGCTAGTACTCAGAGTGACCAAGACTTAATACAGAAGTAAAGAAATCACAGCTGGGACCAGGCTGATGAAGAGGGCAGTGTTTTTGTTAAAAAAAAAAAAAAAAAAAAAAAAAAAAAGTCACTGGGCAGCAGTCCTCAAAGTAGGAAAAAGAAGATAACATTCCTTCCGGGAATTTTTTTCTTTAAAGGAAAATTAGAAAGAGGCAGATGGTAAGAAAAGCACTGTACTATTAATTAGAAGAATATACCCACATCAAACCCTCTGACTTTAGTCGTCAATGATTTCATCTTTGAAGTGAGAGGATCAGACTAGAAGATAAATTTTTTATTATTTATTTATTTATTTATTTAGTCTTTTGAGATGGAGTCTCACTCCATCGCCAGGCTGGAGTACAGTGGCGCAATCTTGGCTCACTGAAACCTCTGCCTACCAGGTTCAAGCAATTCTCCTGCCTCAGCCTCCCGAGTAGCTGGGACTACAGGTGCATGCCACCACACCCAGCTAATTTTTGTATTTTTATTAGAGACGGGTTTTCATCATGTTGGTCAGGATGGTCTTGATCTCTTGACCTCATGCTCTGCCCGCCAAAGTGCTGAGATTGAGATTACAGGCATGAGCCACTGCGCCCTGCCTGAAGATAAATATTAAGATCCTACCTTAATACTCTGATTCCAATGCAGTTCATAATAATTAAGTCATAACAGAACTACTTGAATTAAACTGAGCTTTTGTTCTTAATAACTAAAAGTTTATCTTTTAATAAGGAAATTATGTAACATCTTAATAAATAATAGGTTTTTATATAAAAATCAAGACTTAATGGCTAATGTCATATTTCTGCAGCTTTCCATTTTCCAGACCTAAACGGCCCAGCTGGATAGGTAAAAATTACCTTTAGATACATCACTATTCACCTGGTTAGCAACCATGAAAAACACATGGAAGGTGCTTTGAGGGAGTTACATAACCACTATATAACTTTCTTGGTACCATGGCCCATTTAAAAGTTAAAAAAAAATAACCACTGAGATACATTTACACTGTTAAAACAACTGCAATCAGTAACAAGTGCTTTACAGACTAAAAGATTAGATATTACCAACATTTCCTTTTGTCTCTTTCCATAGAAGGATCAAACACTTTAGCTTAATCACTTTTTTCTAGATAAAGATACCAACTGCTTCCTTCGTATTTTCCTCTTGTTGCATCAATTTCCTTGCCTGACGTTGGCTGCTTGTCACTGTCTATGTGCTCCTTAGCCTGCTGGTAAGAGCCTGCATGCTCCTTACTATTGGTAAGCCCTTCCATGGTCTATGTCCACTTCCTTATGCTTAGAGCTGGTATCTGCAACAATAGTGGTGGCAAGCTCTCAGATAAATAGACACACAAAAAATTAATTTAGTAAACACAACAGAGTTGCTCTGATTGGGAATAGGCTACATATTACACTATGAGGAGGTGTTTACATAAAGATATGTATTTTATCATGTAGATGTCTAGAACTCCCAGCCTCAAGCATTCCTCCCACCTAAGCCTCCCAAAGCACTGGGATTACAGACATGAGCCATTGCACCCAGCCTATTATGCAGATGTCACATCTGGAGCCACTTCTGAGACTAGATGGAATATGTTTCAATTCTAAGCAAAAGACCTCCATCTTTTTAAATTTAGGCATGAAAAATGATAATAGAAAAATGTATAAAATAGGGATGAATAGAAGCACCGCGAAAGGAATAAAAACAGACCAATTGATCAAGCCAATCAATCACTGACAGCTATTTTGACTCTGAACACTAATACAGAAGAGTACTAAGGAAAAATACTGACACATATACCTATATTAAGGTGTTTCATCATGCCATATCATTAGTACAAAATAAAAGGAAGAAACAGCATAATATCTATTATCAGTTCTCTCTGTAAGTCCATATTGCTCATCATTTCTCTATTGTTCTATAGGCCAGTATCTGCTTTGGAAAACATGTTCTTCCAAATCAAACCACTCTGAATGAAATGAATGGACATGGGTCAATCTATGTGACCAATATGCAGAAACAGTAAATTCAGGTTTTGTTGAGTTCATTTATTATTGAACTTACTTGTCTTTTGCCAGTTCTCACCCACTTTGAAATATGCACCAAATAAATTAATACAATTTTACCAAGTGCCATCCAAATAGCTGATTTTGTACATAATACTGAAAATTGAGTGTTCTTAATTTGCAAAACTAACTTTGGACATTAATGCTAATTAGATCATATTATTACTGTTCAGTGAAAGGCTCGAATATGCAGTTACGGGCTGAATAAATACGGAACTGGAAAATACACACCAAAAATATGTACAAGTAAGGAAGAAAGCACAAATATCTTATGGAAATAAATGTTTTAAAATAGATACTAAGTGAAAACTGAGGAAGTGAAGAAGATCCATTTATGCTCCCAGGTCCTAAAGTCAACATTAAAGCTTTTAGAATCAAATATGCAAAAAGCCAGCACCACAGGAAAATGAAAGAAGAATGATATTGGAAATAAATAAGAATACTGATGAAAGGAAAAATCAAACATGACTGTTGATAAATGTCTGCAGCCTTACTGTTCTAAAAAAGAACACCATTTCTTACAGGGAATGAATGGGAAATTGGACAGACAGTGCTGTCAGCTACAAAACCTACCTTAATGAAGGCTGAACATGAGTGAGAAAAGCACTTGGTATAAAATACATAAAACTATAAAACTACAGGGAGGAAGAAAAGCATAGATAAAACCAGAAAACTATAAATGGATTATCATTCTAAAATTATAACACTTAAACTGATTTAAATAGCCATAGTATTATATCAATTTAAAAGTCAATAGACTAGCATTAAACAAAAAAAAAATTTGAAAACACACAAAAGATACAGAACCAGGTAAATGATACCTTTCCACAATATAATCATACTGATGATTAATCTCTAAATAACTTTGTCCCTTCCCCTCAACCAACTCACCCAACATTTTCTGCATCTTCATCACACTCAGCTTTATATTTGCAGGGTCCACACTTGGAGTGTTTTCTGTGAACTTCTGCCCCTGACCCTTCCTCTTCTGTTTAAAAAGAAAAATCAAATTTACAACCAAAAGTTGGGATCCTTTCCAGATATGCTTCATGTTTTCAGCAGTCATTATCCTGTTTCTGAGGAAAATGTACCTGAGCTCTTGAAAACAGTCACTTCCAAAATCTACCAATGCTTGAAGTTCAAAAATGTTGCCAGTACTGAGTACAACATATTTTGTGAGGAAAACAAGTTTTGGTGCTGAAAAATGATCCCTTAAACTATGTAGGCAGAACTACACAGTAGGTTTGATAATGAATTGCTTTTTTAAGAAAAATTACCATATAACACTGAATAAGGGAGAAAGAAAAGAGACAGGAGCAATACATTTAAGTCCTGTGATTACCCTCCTGTTGCAATCAGCCTGTGCAAAGCTGGTCAGCAGATAAGCGCCTGACCACAAAAGAATGTAACTCTCACCTTTTCCTCACATCAGTTTCATACTTGTCTTTCTAACTACATAAAAACTAATTTCAGAGTTTAAAAAAAAATACTTATCTCCAAATTTTAAAATGGAAAAGGGTCTCTTTGTAAAGGACTTTTCTTCTTTTTCTACTTGGTCACTTAGCACAGCCAAAAATATGCAGATACAAAAGTATGCAGGTCTCTTATGCTCCAACGCAAAAGAAAAAAATAAAAACACTAAATACCTCCAGCCCCAAACTCAGCTCACATTCCACACTGAAAGGGCCTTACACTTTGTGGGTCTCAACTAGAGTGGATCATATCCTGATAATCTCAAACTGGCCAGGGAGATCAGTTCTGAAATCAACTTAAGGATTTCAGTTCATTCAAGGGATTTCCCTCGAATTTGGTTTGAAAAAGAGTACTATTCAGGGAGTGTCTTTTTTTTTTGTTTGTTTGTTTTTCAGACGGAGTCTCAGGCTGGAATGCAGTGGCGCAATCTCAGCCTGGATGAATCTCAGCCTGGAGAATCACTTGAACCTCTGCCTCCTGGGTTCAAGTGATTCTCCTGCCTCAGCCTCCTGAGTAGCCAGGATTACAGGTTCACACCACCATGCCCAGCTAATTTTTGTACTTTTAGTAGAGACGGGGTTTCACTATGTTGGCCAGGCTGGTCTTGAACTCCTGACCTTGTGATCCGCCCACCTCAGTCTCCCAAAACGCTGGGATTACAGGCATGAGCCACCACACCCGGCCTCAGGGGGTGTCTTATAATAAAGATAGTGTTAAAAAAGGTACACAAATCTGCCATGCCTGTTTGGTAATGCTTCCGAACTTCTAATTTTTGGTGTCTGCCTGTCCTTAAATAGAAATATTCCCCTAAACTCTCATGAATACTCCCAAACAGATACCAGGGATTATCATCCTAAGTAATTCTGAGGCCCCAAAACATCATAATATTCAGAAATACTACAGTTACCATGAGCTCACTAAGGTCTGTATATTAACTGGGGCAAACCACTTAGCCCTTCTAACTCATGCTCTCAAAAAAAAATTTTTTAAAAATGGTCAACCTACATCCTCAGGGCAAGATATCCAGCATTTTTTGTTTTGTTTTGTTTGAGACAGGGTGCAATGGCGTGATCACCACTCACTGCAGCCTCAACCTCCTGGGCTCAAGCAATCCTCCCGCTTTAGCCTCCAAAGTAGCTGAGACTACATACCACCACACCTGGCTTTTTTAAATTTTTTTATTTTTTTATTTTTTGAGAAGGAGTCTCGCTCTGTCCCCCAGGCTGGAGTGCAGTGGCGCAATCTCAGCTCACTGCAACCTCTGTCTCCTGGGTTCAAGCAATTCTCCTACCTCAGCCTCCTGAGTAGCTGGGATTACAGGCGCCCACCACCACGCCTGGCTAATTTTTGCATTTTTAGTAGAGACGGGGTTTCACCACATTGGCCAGGCTGGTCTCAAACTCCTGACCTCAGGTGATCCGCCCGCCTCGGCCTCCCAAAGTGCTGGGATTACAGGCATGAGCCACTGTGCCCGGCCTTTTGTTTTTTTTTTTTTTTTTGGGGTAGAGACAGGGTCTCACTATGTTGCCCAGGCTGGTTTCAAACTCCTGGGCTCAAGTGATCCTCCCATCTCAGCTTCCCAAAGTTCTGGGATTTTAGGCATGAGCCACTGCGCCCAGCCCAATATTGTATTATATAAGCAAATCTTGAGATCAACTCTCACTTCTTTAATATAGGAACAATGACAATGACAGTTTCCTAACTGAATACCTGACCACAGGGGCTAGACTACATGATCGCCTAAAATCTGTTCCAGCTCTAAGATCTGGAATTTATTATCTGATCCTTCACACCTGATTATAAAGCTTCTGCTTGAACATGTCCATCTACTTCAAATTCTATTGTTTGAAAGCTTTAATCATTTTTTTTTTTTTTAGCTGAAACTGTCATCCTTGAATTTCTCCTCAGGACAGTTCTCCTATTCTCCAGGAGACCTTCAAAGTCCCTTCCAACTCTGAAATTTTAAGATTCTATGAAATGTAGACGTATGGAGTGAGGTTTCAGGCAGTTTTGAAAGGATCATAACTGTAGTTTCCATTTGCATTAAGTGTGAATTGTACTGAAGTGGGTGTTCTTTGGTGTACCCCATAATATCTCAAACATTATTTGGTATACAGTACATACTCATTAAGAATTATAGCCTCATTAGACTATGATATAGATTAGTCAATCTCAATTCTGATCATTTAAACTCCATTATATGCTATTACCAAATATTAATCTTTTAAACAACAGAAATAATTCATATATTTGTAAAATAAAATCAAAAACATAGATAGGAAATTGTTAAAGGTTTAAATTAAACTCTAAATTCCACGAGAGTTGTTGGGCAAGTCTTCCTTTTTCTATGCACAACTCCCTCTGGAGTTTTTAACCCTGTACCATGAAAATTCCTGATGAGCAAAAACTTGAAAGCAAGGTATGGGAAAGAGTTACAAATACTCTGGTCCAAGCTAAAATCACTTGTGGGGATGATGCAACCTCAATTTAACAGAAACTACAACATCTTCCCCTTAGTATGACAATAAACTTCCAGAGAAAAATGCAAGAAACAAGAATGCCTAGAGCTGAGAGGGAGAGTTGGGTTAGGAGTGATGGCTAAGGAGTGCATGGTTTCTTTTTGAGGTTATTAAAATGTTCTAAGAGTGACTGTGGTGATGAATATATAACTCTGAATATCCTAATGAATATATAACTGTGAATTTACTAAAAGTCACTGAATTTGTACACTTCAAGTGGCAAATTATATGGTATGTGAATTATATCTCAAAGCTGATTTAAAAAAAAAAAAAAAAAGAAAAAGAAAGAAAGAAAGAAAGAAAAGCAAATATCCTTTAAGAGGTACTTGAAACTTACCTCCTTCTCCAGATCCAGATCCATTATCTGAGAAGAAAAACAAAGAATGAATATGAACATTTTTCCCGGAAATTTCATCTTATCAAATAATAAAATTTCCTATCAAAAATAAAACTGTGATATCCATTCTCAAAGAGTCCTTTTCTCATATTTTTGATATCTTATTTATTCTTACATACTTATTTTATGCTGCTCTTAAAATATAAATTGCTTAGATACATAATCATCTATATTTCATACATCTTTGTATCCCATTAAGGACATACCCAGATGCTTTGCACAGAGTAAAGACAATAAATACTGTAAAGTAAAAGGCTAAATATAAATAATTAATTTTAATCCACTCATTTAAAAGATAAGAGAAAATTTTAGTTTTTGTTAAAGCTTGAGAGAAATAATGAATAAGCTGCTTTTATTAGAAAGGCAGGAAAAGAGCTTTGGGTCTTACTACAAAAAAAAAAATCTTCTTAAGGAAATCTGCGGATAAAGACCAAAAGCCAAAAGGTAAGAAAAGCCCCAAGGTTTAGGAAGCAAGGAACCAAAGGCTTGAGGTTTTCATGTTACTAATAAAATTAACTTCCTCTAGGAAATCCAATCCGAAGGACTTACCTGACTTGTCGCTAGTGAAATTAAAAAGAGCCTTCATCAAAGTTACCAGAAAGAAGCCAGTCTCAAGTACAATTAATGTAAAATATTTATTCTATAATCCTAAAGGAACCAACATATTAGCACAGAACATGTTGAAAAGAGGGTAATGATGTAAAATCATCAGCACAGAGTCATTTTAAAAAGCAGAGAGAGCAAGTGAGGAATTTGATGCTTTATCTAGCACTTGCCAGGGGAGAGGATACCCTGGATCCTAAAGAACCCATGCTAGCTCTCCAAATTGTCCTCTAGAGCAGAAAACAACACTCAGAACAATATTGTTCCCTTCCCTTCAAGCTCCTTCGGACAATAATCAAATTCCCAGATACCACAGAAACAGGAGGAATTAGAAAAATATATATTGTATGCAGTACCCATTGTAAAATCTTCATGGGATTTTATGGAAAGTCTTAAATTATGTTCAATTTTGATTAATCAACCACAAAATGACATTTTCTCTGAGTAAATAAGGAGGAAATGAAAGAGTGATGGAACAGAAAAAAAGACAGCGAGGGAGGAAACTCAAAATTGTTTTTATGACCAAACTCTTCTTAGGAAAACACCCCTTTATTACTTCGATTCCACATACAATGATTGGTTACATATTATGTGCCAGGCACCATGGTAAATGCGAGGAATAAAATGATAAATAAGACATATTCCCAGTACACAAGATACTACTCCCAATCTTTTTTTCAAACCATGTCTACTTTTAATAAATATAAAAATCTCATACCTTCGTCATTTAGAATCCTTAAATAAATTAAATACTGTGGCTACTCTGATAACAAGGTAGAATTCTCCCTGTATGTTATATTTTGTAAATGGTACGCATTGCCCCAACCTACACGATTCCGTCCCACCCTGAGATTACGATACACATCCCTAGGTAAGACAGTACCTCCCCACTGAGAAAGCACTGATTTGGCTGGAGGTACTTATGTCAGATGAATGAAATACAATATGGTATATGTATAGAAATACACCCAAGGTATAAACAAACTCTGCCAGGAGATGTCACAGAAGGAAGATTTCACAGAGGAGAAAAGGCTTAAGACCAACCTTAAGCATAAGAAAAAGAGTTTTCAAATAAGGAAAAGAGAATAGTATTTCTAGTTCAAGGAATAGGATCCACAAAAGACCAAATAACATAAAACACTGCCCACTCAGAAAATAAAATCAATATAGCAGCTTATAACTTTGCTCATTCAATCCTTATTTAACAACCCCAGGAGATAATATCCACTTAACAAGTTAAGGAATTGGGGCTCAGAGAGGCTTAGTGATTTGTCCAAGGTCACACAGTAAATAAGGGTTGGAGTTAGGTTAAGGCGAGGTCTTGTAACCCTAGCACAGTGCTCCCAATCTACCACTTTGCTGCCTAATGTTTAACATTAGGTGTTAACACTTGCTGTCTTAGACATATGCTCCTCATAAGTGAAACATAATTTGAGACTGGAAAGAACCTCCATATTCCTCTTTAATTTCTAGATCATTTTGTGAAACACAATGTACTTAAAGAAGTATATAAGAACCACACCAAATCATAGTCTACTAGACTAAAAACATAATAATTTCTCCAAGCACGTGATTATTTTAGTGTGTATAGAAAGAATTTGGCCTTCCTACAAGAGAGGTCTCGTCTTTTCCCTCTGCTTCCGGAAGGTAACCTACGTCATACCTGATAGAAGGATATTTGTTAAGGGAGGGTGCTGACCACACTGGAACTTAGTGTTGGGGGTTGGGCCACGTCTAAGTCTTAGGGTTGGGGCTGGTTACACTAGAAAGACCAATCATGAAGAGTAGAGTAGGGGTTACAGGTCACAGTATTAGTGGACCCAGAGTCTTCAATTAACCACACAACCAACTCATCAAATTATACTTACATAATGAGCCCCAATAAAAACTATGAATATCAGGGTACAATGGCTCACACCTGTAATCCCAGCACTTTGAGAGGCCAAGGCAGGCAAATTGCTTGAGCTCACAAGTTCAAGACTAGCCTGGGCAACATGGCAAAACCCTGTCCCTACAAAAAATACAAAAAAAAAATGAACCTGGCATGTTGGCATGTGTCTGTAGTCCCAGCTACTCAGGAGACGGAGGTGGGAGGATCCCTTGAGCCTGGGAGGTCAAGGCTGCAGTGAGTCATGATCGTGCCACTGCACTCCAGCCTGAGGAACAGAGTGAGATGCAGTCTCATAAAGAAAAAACTATGAACACTGATGCTCAGGCAAGCTTTCCTGGCTGGCAATACTCCATGTGCACTGCCACATACTGTAACTAGGAGGAGTTAACTCTGTCCATGCCTCCACTGGGAAAGAAAAATCAGCAACTCCATGTTTGGAACCTTCCCAGAATCTTCTGGGCATCTCTTTCTTTGGTTGATTTTAACATGTATCCTCTCCCTTCATAACCACGCATATAACAGCTGTCAGTGAGTCTGTTAGCCCTTCTAGCAAATTACTGAGCCTAGGGTTAGCTGGGGAACCTCTTGATCTCAGCTGGTGTCAGAAGTGAGAACAGCCTTGGAGACTGTCCCCTTTGACTTTGTAGTTGACCCTAAAATTGTCACATTTAGTAAAATGGAGAATTTCTGAACACTGTAATATATAGGGAAAGAAAGGAAGTGGAAATCCCCTAAGAATGGCCTTCACCTTTACCACTAACCTTGATATAATAATTCAAGTTACCTCACCGGCATCTCTATCCCCAAACATTAATACAAACACAAGAAAATAACATTAATAGTTCCCCAAATCAACCACTACCAATTCTGGAAGGAAAAAAAAGATGAAGTAAATACAAACAGCATGGGATGAACAGGTGGCAGAGAAAAAACTTGGAAAGCAACAATCTGTGATACTGCTAATGACTTTCTACAGAAATTCCTCACCTTTTTTTTTTTTTTTTCTGAGATGGAGTCTTGCTCTGTCGCCCAGGCTGGAGCACAGTGGTGCGATCTTGGCTCACTGCAAGCTCCACCTCCTGGGTTCACGCCATTCTCCTGCCTCAGCCTCCCGAGTAGCTGGGACTACAGGTGCCCGCCACCACACCCAGCTAATTTTTTGTATTTTTTAGTAGAGACGGGGTTTCACTGTGTTAGCCAGGATGGTCTCAATCTCCTGACCTCGTAATCTGCCCGCCTCAGCCTCCCAAAGTGCTGGGATTACAGGCGTGAGCCACCGCACCCGACCTTCCTCACCTCTTTTTAAAAAATCATCAAGACAGATCCCCTATCATTCCCCACCTCAAAGCTCATTCTGTCTACTGTTCAAATCATAAGGCAAAGGACATGCAAAGAAAGTAAGTCCCTATAAAAAGAGTGTTAAGCCTTAACAATGTAGTAAGGAGTAACATAAGTCTATACAAGACCACCTGGGGTTGAAAAGCAACAACCTGAAATGAGGGCAAAAAAGATTTCCCCTACTCCCCGCAACAACCACCACCAATCCACACAGCAGTTGTGGAAATATACCTCTGACTCAAAACCCCCTTTTAGAAATGATTCCACCATATTTTCCAAAATTTATTCAGAAGAATATCATACATACCAGAGTAGCATGGTCCTCTTGCTATTACTGTTATCTCTTTCTGGTGCTTACAAGCAGCCCTTCTGAGAAAGCATTCATTTTGATAAGTGTCCCCATTTGATCCACAGACAGGAATATAATTTGTATGGCACTGCAAAAGCAACAAAAATAAATTCTCAGAACTAGGCATGAATATTAATAGTTTATTTCACATTCATGAATGCAATACCATAGCATTATGACATACTTCGCTACTGAATAGTCTGGGGTTTTTTTTTTTTTTTGGCTTAAAAAGAATTATGCTACTTCTTCATACCTTTTTTCACATTCATAAGGAAAATAACTACCAACTATCCAAAAAAATGAGAATGAAAATCTCTATCTACTTCATTTGCTTGCTATGAAAAACCACCAAGGTAATAAGAGGAAATTATTGACAATGTAAAGAGTGCTACTTATGTAATAGCATTTTATTATTATCAAAATTCATTTATTCATTCAAACCTAATCATAAAAATAGAAAAAAATCATTATTCAAAACATCTAGTAGGCAAAGTCCCAAGGTAAATGGTACAGAAGACACAAAGAAATATAGGATGATCTCTGTTCTTGGAAACCTTACAATCTTGTCAGAGAGTCATACGAGTAGGAAAAAAAACCAATACTGCAAAGCTAGATCATGTACCAAATCAGTAAGCATGTGATGCCTAATACCTATTATTGTAAGCTGAAGTATTCAAGAAAAGCATCCTCAGAGAAAGTGGAATATGAACTGAGCCCTGAAAGATGAGTAGAAATAAGACAGGTGAAGAAGAAAAAAGGTAATACAGGTTTGAGAAATGACACTGGACCTGCATGTAGGAAAACCTGAAAACATCTACATGTTAGAAATATCATAAATGACTAAAGTTTTAAAATCTGGGGAAAATGTTATAACAATATGATACAAGTTATTATTACTTAAAAAATAGA
Organism: Homo sapiens; assembly: GCF_000001405.40. Classification (NCBI taxonomy): domain Eukaryota; kingdom Metazoa; phylum Chordata; class Mammalia; order Primates; family Hominidae; genus Homo; species Homo sapiens. The sequence goes on along the minus strand of NC_000009.12, from coordinate 100,508,183 downwards.
TCATACAAATTAATAAAAACGGGACCAAAGACAGACATGAAGTGTTTACAGAAAAATTACAAATGGCCAGTTAATGCATAAAATATTATTGATCTTCACTAGCAATCAGGGTTGTCCACTAAGATGAGATGCTATTTCCAACTTATAAAATTGGCTATTAAAAAATTCAATTAGGTGGACATCCCACTACACCAGTTTTGGTTCTACTTTGGGGTAACATAATTAAAGAATATGTTTCAAGAATCCTAAAAAAAGGAATACAGTTTTTGATCCAGAATTACACATTTAGAAATCAATGTGACAGAAACTTGTAGACAAACATTTATTACAGCCATTTCCAACAGAAATTTATAATATCAATAACCTAAAAATCTTAATATCTAACAAGACAATGTTTAATTGAAGTATAACTGTTCAAGAAATTAATATTGCAGTCATTAAGAATTACCTTTTGAACTTAAACAATCCAACAAGCAAAAGGCAAATAATTCCATTAAAAATAGGGCAAAGGACATGAACAGACACTTCTCAAAAGAAGACATACAAGTGACCAATAAACATGAAAAAATGCTCAACATCACTAACCACCAGAGAAATGCAAATCAAAACCACAAGAAAACACCATCTCACAAGAGTCAAAATGGCTATTATTAAAAAGTCAAAATAACAGATGCTTGTGGGACTGCAAAGAAAAGGGAATGCTACACAGGTGGGAATGTAAATTAGCTCAGCCACTGTGGAGAGCAGTTTGGAGATTTCTCAAAGAACTTAAAACAGAACTACCATTCAACCCAGCAATCTCATTACTGGGTAGGTACCCAAAGGAAAATCAATCATTCTACCAAAAAGACACATGCACCCATATGTTCATCGCAGCACTATTCACAATAACAAAGACATGGAATCAATCTAGGTGCCCAACAATGGTGAATTTGATAAAGAACATGTGGTATATATACACCAAGGAATACTACACAACCATAAAAAAGAATGAAATAATGTCCTCTGCAGCAACATGGATGCAGCTGGAGGCCAATATCCTAACTGAGGAACAGAAAACCAAATACCTCATGCTCTCATTAGTGTTAGGTAAACATTGGATACACATGGACATAAAGATGGGAACAACAGACACTGGACACTACTACAGTGGGGAGAGAGGGAGAAAGGCAAGCACTGAAAAACTACCTATTAGGTACTATACTCACTACCTGGGTGGCAGGATCAGCAATAAACCCATCTACCTACACATGTAGCCCTTGAAACTAAAATAAAAGCTGAAGTTTAAAAATAGTAATTGTAAAAAAGAATTACCTTTAAAAAATATATTGTGTGACAAGAAAAGCTAACAAAGTTAGGCAAAAAGCACATATATAATTTCTGGGAATTCTGTACTTTTTTTTTTTTTTTTTTTTTTGAGATGGAGTCTCGCTCTGTCGCCTAGGCTGGAGAGCAGTGGCATGGTCTCGGCTCACTGGAAGCTCCACCTCCTGGGTTCATGCCATTCTCCTGCCTCAGCCTCCCGAGTAGCTGGGACTACAGGCGCCCGCCACCACGTCCGGCTAATTTTTTTTGTATTTTTAGTAGAGACGGGGTTTCACTGTGTTAGCCAGGATGGTCTCGATCTCCTGACCCTGTGATCCGCCCGCCTCGGCCTCCCAAAGTGCTGGGATTACAGGCGTAAGCCACTGCGCCTGGCCTGAATTCTGTACTATTTTTAAACGTATTATGTATTCCACAAAGCTAACTGTAAATGTTTTAAATAATATGATAATATAAAATAAAATATAGCAAGAAAATAAAGTATATTTATAGCCCATTTAGAAAAAAATGAATACATGTAAAATAAGTCCTGGAATAAAATGTCAACAAATTTTTCACATTACCTGTCTTCATGGTTTCCCAGTTCCCTATTTAAGATTTTCCATATTTCTCTATTTTTCTTCAATGAGCAAGACTTACTTTTATCATTTATCTACTTTTAAAAAGTGATCAGATTTACTTTATGAAGCATACATATGGCATGCTACCACAGGTCAAGCACTGGTAAAAACAACTTCTAGTAAAATATTTTATAACCTAGTCGACTTTGTTATACATTCAGTATCAGCAGAATCTTACACCAACTTTTCTTAAAATTATATTTTTATTTTAGGAAGCCTCCCTATTATATATATTCCTCCAGTTTTTCATGGATCACATTGCTTTCTTCTCTTTCCCTAAAATTTACACAATACCTAGTATGATGTCTACATAAGTCAATGTTACTTTGTAATTATACAATACTCAATTAGCCAAGGAAACTACTATGAGCTCCAAGATATCAAGTGCTAAATCTATGAACTTTCCAATCCCACTTCATTCCTCAACAAATGCTTACTTTCTAACGTAGTGTTGTGTTCACAAAGGTGCCAATATCGCCCCCTAGGGGTGGCTGTCCCTGTGGAGGCATTTTTGGTTGTCACATTGACAGACGGACATTACTGTAATTTACCAGATAGATTCCAAGGATGCCTGAAGTACTGCAAAGGAAAGGACAGTTCCATACAACAAAAGCAAGTACCACACAACTTCTGAATGTCTCTCTGGCTATTCATGTAGGAATTTTGACAAGACTTTCCTTAATACTACAAATCAGTCTGATCTGTTATAACTTATCCTAATATTGGTTTTTATTCTAGCATCTACTAGACATCTACATTTTTGTTTCATGTACTCCTGGTATGAAATTGCTTTTAGTTGTTTTTTTTTTTTTTTTTTTTTTTTTTTTTTTGAGACAGGGTCTAGGTCTGTCGCCAGGTTGGAGTGCAGTGGTGCAATCTAGGCTCACTGCTATCTCCGCCTCCCAGGTTCATGCAATTCTCCTGCCTCAGCCTCCCAAGTAGCTGGGATTACAGGCACACACCACCATGCCCAGCCAATTTTTGTATTTTTAGTAGAGACGGGGTTTCACCATGTTGGCCAGGATGGTCTTGAACTCCTGACCTCGTGATCCGCCCACCTCGGCCTCCCAAAGTGCTGGGATTACAGGCATGAGCCACCGCGCCCGACCTGCTTTTAATTTTTTTAATCCAAACATTTATCATAAGCAGACACAAACATCTGATGACTGTATTTTCTTCTATGGTAATCATACCTAAGCATTTACATTCTGAAATATTTATTTTATTATAAATTACTTTTATTTCTCCTTTACATTGCAATCATGCATTAAATTCATTTCTTTAATCATGTGTTTATGTAGGTTAATTTATCCGTGAATTTCTTCTAAGGATAGTAAAGAAACTGAATATTAAAATGAAGCATTAATTCTGATAGGGCTGAGAATCTTCACATTTTTTATCCAGGAAGCATTAGTCTACAACTTTAAGTGTCCTAACTTAAATATCATAAACCATGTGAAGCACATGGTTGAATGCTTAGAGCTAAGGCTATAAAGCCAAAAATGTTTGAATTCAAATCCTGGGCCCACCAACCATGTGACTATGGGCTAGCACCATCACCATGTTCAATGGTGTACAACGGTGATTATAATACTACCTACCTAACAAAGTTGTTATGAAGATTAAATAAGATAATCTACCTTTGGCATTTCTATCTGACCATGGTACATTCTCAATAAACATTAGCTATTTTGCTATTGCTAGTATCATTTCTCAGTCGTAAGTATTTGCCAATAGTCACTAATAAGTGGAAGAGCCACAATTCCTCCCATATGATGTATTTTAACCACTACACACTCAAGTTAAGTCAGTGGTGTATTGCCATCTGTCACTTGGTGACACTGAGCAGAGGACTTAATGTCTCTGAAATTCACCCTCACAAGCATATACCTAGGAGTGAGTGTGAGATGGGAGAAGTAGACCTGCTGTTGGTCATTCTCAGTTTCCATGGGTCTCTCCTGGAAGCCTCTAATTATGCTAATGGACAAATTATGGGATTTGGACAATTTTAACAACATGCGATTTCTGACTTATGCACTGATGGTGGATTCTAAGTCTAACCTAAAGTCTGCTCCTCTATATTGCCACCCTTGTTGGGAGGAAGAACTCTCCCCTGTACCTTTTCTTTAGCTAGAAGAATGTGATGATGTTGCCAGCTATTTCAAGTAGTTTAGAAAGATGGAGCAGTGTACGACTCTGGAACTGCATCCATTCAAGCATTTATTGTGTACCTACTGTGTGTCAGGAACTATGCTGAATACAGCAAGTAGAAAATAATAACAAGGTTGTGATGATTAATTTTCTATGTCAACTTGACTGGGCCCCATGGTGCCCAGACTAAACATCATTTCTGGGTTTATCTGTGAAGGAATTTCTAGATGAGATTAATATTTGCATCAGTGGATCAAGTAAAGCAGACTGCCCTCCCCAGTGTGAGTGGGCACTATTCAATCCACTGAAGAACTGAATAGAATTCTTCTCTCCTTTTGCTTGACCGCTTAAGCTAGGACATCGATCTTCTCCTGGTGCCCAGGCCTTCAGTCTCAGATAGGGACTTGTACCACTGGCTTTCCTGGGCTAGTATACAGATGACGGACTGTAGGACTTCTCAGCCTCCATAATCAAATGAGCTAATTCCTTATTGCTCGCTCGCTCTCACATTCGTGTGTGTGTGTGTGTGTGTGTGTGTGTGTGTGTGTGTGTGTTTCTGTTTCTCTGGAGAACTGTGACTAATAAAGGGTCTAATAAGAGGGCATGGCACCTAGCAAGAGCAGACATTGATAAATACAGGAAGAAAGACACATAGTTCAGAGAATGCCAGAACAAAGATGAAGAAAGAAAACAGGAAAAAAAGTCATAGACTGTACTCTATACAAAGTTTTCAGGGAAAGATGCAGTATTAATCATGTTTCTATATACCAAATTAGCAAAAGTGGCTTTGTTTATATGTGTGGCAAGATAATAGCTCTTATTAGCAGACTAAAAAAAAAAACAATTTGAATTTTTATTTAAAATCCTGTTATCTGTTAAAATGTATTTAAATAATGTCCCAGAAAGCTTCTATTTAGCACTAAAAGCATGCTGAATCATAAGCAAGTTTTTAAAATGAATTGAAAGATACTGCTAAAGCATCCAGCAGAGAAGGGTTTAATGGGCATGTCAGGTCATTATTTTTAAGCTGGCAATAACCTAAGTCTACCCTGAACAGATTTATAATCTTATAAAGGAAGGCAGAATGGTCAAAGGAAGGTTCACTCGGCAGCAAGATCAAACTATACTGTAAGCCCTGAGGCAGTTTGCTCCTACAAGGCAAGGAACCAGTCTTTAAACATCTTTACATCCTCAGCATCTAGTCTCATACCCAGCACAAGTAAGCACTGGATAAATGTCTAATGGTGTCAACTCCCAACATATTTTCCTTCCCTGCTTTGCCACAAGGTAAAAATGCAAGGAATTCAGACAGATCATGGAAGGATTTTCTAGCTGTTCAAGTATATTTTTTAAAACGTCAAAAAGGCTATTTCTTTATAATCTTAGAGTTTCAGGGAAATACTTTTCTCAAAAAATGAAGAAAAGCAGGGCTGGGCATAGCAGCTCATACCCGTAATCCCAGCACTTTGGGACGCCAAGGTGGGAAGACTGCTTGAGCCCAGGAGTTCAAGACCAGTCTGGGCAACCTAGAGGTCTTGGCGCTACAAAAAAAAATTTTTTTAATCAGCCAGGTGTGGTGATGCACACCTGCTGTCCCAGCTACTCAGGAGGCTGGGGTGGGAAGATCATTTGAGCCCAGGAGGTCAAGGCTACAGTAAGCTATGATTGTGTCACTGCACTCCCGCCTAGGCAACAGAGTGAGACCCCGTCTCAAACAAAAAAAAAGACAGATAAATATAAGGTGAAAATCTGAAATTTCTTTGTGTCTAAAATATAAACAAAATGAAAATGAAACTAAGATATACAATTATTTTTGTCAATTAAAAATACATAGTGTTAAAAAGAAAAACAAAAAAATGAAATTAGGATAACTTCTTTAAAATATAGAGTTCTTTGGAATCTATTGTTCCTGGAAAGGAACAATCTCCAAGATAAATACTATTAAATGATTTAATATTTAAAAGGGGAATTAAACAAATTTATATACACACAAAATACTTCTAGAAGGAAATGCAAGAAGTAACAGATGTTGCCTTTGAGAAGAGTTGACAGTCTGGAGTGGAAGCTTTTTTTGCTACATATCTTCTTATATTGTTCAAGTTGTTTACTATGGGCATACATTACTCTTTTTAAAAATAAATCAAAGTAGCCAGGCGCGGTGGCTCATGCCTGTAATCCCAGCACTTTGGGAGGCCAAGGCAGGCGGTTCACGAGGTCAAGAGTTCGAGACCATCCTGGCCAACATGGTGAAATCCCGTCTCTACTAAAAACACAAAAATTAGCTGGGTGTGGTGGCATGCACCTGCAGTCCCAGTTACTAGGGAGGCTGAGGCAGGAGAATCATTTGAACCCGGGAGGCGGAGGTTGCAGTGAGCCACGATCGCACCACTGCACTCCAGCCTGGCAACAGAGCGAGGCTCCATCTCAAAAAATAATAATAAATAAATAAAAATAAATAAATAAATCAAAGCAGCAGGTTCTCTTGAGAGTTTATGAGTTAATGAATATCAAATGCTCAGCATAGTAAGCAATATATATATATTCCAATATTGTATTGCACAGAGTATGTATATATGCATACACATGTCTTTACAAATCAACATGAGGGAAAAAGAAAATACCCCAGAAACTAGACACAGAATATGAAATATTAATTCACAAAAAAAAATGGTAACAAATATACAGCACATTTTCAATTTCTCTAGTAATCAAATGCAAATAAAAATTGTTTTTGCCTTTCAGATTTGTAAATTTAAAAGGACCAACAAAATCCACTATCAAAAGGTTGAGGGGAAACAGGACATCTGATATGAGGCTATTGGTGATAATGTTAATCTGCACATGAGTATCCACTGGCCCAACAATTCCACCTCAAGGAATTTAACCTAAGGAAACACAGCAGCTGAAGAGGAGAACAGCCCCGGTCTTCCCCACACAGGATGACTAAATCTTCAACAACAAAACCCACCACCTTTCTTTTAATGAACCAGATAACAGACTTGAGGACAATCACAGCCACTAAAAAGTGAGAGGGAAATCTCGGAAAGGAGAGAGTTCGAGGGGAGTCCCAGTTTCCGCGTATAAACTCAGAGCACGTTTCTGGCAGACCCCTAAACCACACATGGGGCAGACTCCAAGTAGCCCCAGTGAGGCTAAAAGAAATGAATTGATACTTGTGTTGCTGCCCACCACAAGTAAGGCAGAATCTGCAGTTTGAATTCAGCCAACGGTTTCAAAAATAACAATAATCTTCAAAGGAACATAACAAAACTCACACACTCTAAAACATATGATTCACAATGTATAGGATAAATTCAAAGTTACTCTAATGTGAAGAAACAGGAAAATATGGTCCATTCTCACATGAGAAAACAATCAACAGAGGCAATACCTGAGGATGTCCTAGATATGGACATTAGCAGACATATTTTAAAGCGGCAATAACATCTATGCTCAAGGAAAATATGCTTACAGTGAATGAAAAGAGGAAATCCCAGCAGGTAAACAGAAACTGTAAATTCTAAACATAAAAAATCTACAATTAAAAACTCACTGGATGGGAAGAATGGAGATGACAGAAGAAAGGATTAGTGAACCTGAAGACAGATCAATAAAAATTATCTAATGTAAAGAACAGGAAAAAATTTGGGAAAAAAATGAACAGAGTATCAGGGACCTTGAGACAGTATCAAAAGGTCTAACACATCATGGAAGTCCCAGATTATAAGAAATAATAAGCAGAAAAAAAATTTTAAGAAATAATGACAAAATATTTCTTAAACTGAGTAACAAATAGATTTCAGAAGTTCTGCCAACCCCAAGCATGATAAGTTCAAGAAAAACCATACCACAGTACTTAATAGTCAAAAACAGTAAGGAAAAAATCTTGAAAGCAGTCAGAGAAAAATGACACATTAGGTTCAGGGGGAAAACAGTTCAAATTATCACCGACTTCTCATTTCATTCTGGCTAAAGTCACCTTCCATGCTATGCAGAGCTCTATGGAAAGGTGCTCTTGGCAAAGAAATGATGTCTCCAGCCAACAGGCAGCAGGGATCTGAAGCCAGCCAAAAGCTACCTAAGAAAGCTTGGCAGAAGGTGGCTGATATAAAAATGCCCAAGAGAAACCCTCCTATCATTCTACGTAATTGAATGTAAAGCCCCTTTCAACCATGAAGAAACTGGCTGGACAACAGTATACCTACATACCCTTCCTCCTTTACCTAAACTCTCCACTTCTTTTAATTAAAATAAACCACCTGATGGTTTACAGTTTTCAAAGATGTTTCATATGCAAGCTTTCTTTCCAATTTTGATTCTCATTTACAGTATCATAAGTAAGGGTAGGAAACGTGCCTTCACTTTTCAGATAGAATACTGATGCCAAGAAAATTACCTGAGCTCATACAGAAATTTGCCTGAGGTCACAGGGTTACCAGAAATACTAACTCTCCTATGCTTTCGTTTCTGATTTCTGTGCCCTTTCTTCCCCTCAAAACCCAAATGGTGGGTACGTTTAGAATAAAATTGTGAGTGGAAAAAAAATTCTAGTTCCTTTTTCGCCTCATATCAAATCAACCATCAGAGACCATCTTGTAAGAAACATTCTGAAGTCTGATTACCATTTAACCACAGAAAATAAAAAGAAAGAATTAAATATAACTATTTCCCTTGTTTTACTTTTTTAGACAACAGAATCACAACTAAAAGAGCATCTGAAAAGCAAAAATATTTACACTCTTAGTTTGAGGTTCCACTTGCTATTCGAGCTCTAACCTTGACTTACCCCGAGTCTCCAAGTCAGTCAAGTTCTGTGGCCTGAAGAGATGAGACAGCAACAAATAAGAATGGAAGGGAAAGAGACAGACTAGAAGGAGAAGAAAAGGAAAAAGATGCCAACATTTAAAATAAGAGACTCTAGTTCAACCTGTACCTCTTTCCTTTCAGTGACAATTATACCTTACATTTAAATAGAAATTTGACATTTTTTTCAAAGAATTGTCACATCTATTATTGTCAATCTGTCCTCTCAATTCCATGCAAGCAGTATGGAAGATACAAATAACAGGGCATCATCTGACAAAAAAGAACTGAGGGGCTGTGACCCCAATTTCTTTATGGGGTTCAAGGTGTTTTAGGTTTTTTAATTTGAAGAATTTAGAATTATAAAATACGAAGAATATAAAACTTTTCAAAATAGGCTGGGTTTCCTCACCTGAAATTGGCATGCACATTTCAAACCATCTCCATCTTCTTTACAGACTCCTCCATATTTACATGATGACTCATCACAAACTCTTACGTCAGACTCCCTCACATTTAATTCTGCAAAAGAAAAAAATTGTTTGACATATATATTTGGCTTTTTATTACGTGTGTGTGTCTGTGCGCGTGTGTGTGTGTGTATGAAAAAGTCCTTAAAATGTATTGAGCCCCCCCATTCAGAAGTGTAATAAGACATAACTATACAAAAAGAAATTCTGTAAGACACAAAATGCTCAGTATTCCCCAAACAGAATCCTGCATAGTAATGAGCCTAAAAGTAACTCAAAATAGAACTCAAAATTTCAGGACTTAACATAATTTCCAAAGGTAAATCTGTGGAATTTTTCCATTTTGCCTTCTAAGGCCTTAAGGTAGCAATCTTACTATTTCTTATTTAACATTTTAGGTTATTTTTCTAGTAAGTTACTTTTAAGGCTAATGAGAATTAACAGTAATATTAATTAAATGAGATAAAAATTATCTTAATTATTTTGGTATGCAGAATAAATTTTGGGTGATCATTATTCATTCTAGGCAAACTATTTTAACTACAAAAGAACAGTGAATCTGAATTTCATACAATAAATAATATGGAGCATTTGTGTACACAGAATTAAAGAGATTCAAAATCTTACTAGACTTAAAACTTTTAATGGACTGAATTAAGTTGACTCTACCAAAGCAAGCAGAGCCAATCAACAATACCAGAATTCTGTGGTCATATTGCTCCTGCTCCAACATTAAGCATCAAATTAAGCTTCAAGGTTAGTGCTTGAAGCTGCCAATCAGTGAAAGTGGGTGAAAATCACTACAATGCAATTTTCATATACTTTGTATGGGGAATGAGAGCTTACAAAAACAAATGCACTTAGGCAAACAATAAACAAATGACTGTTTAAAAAAAAAAAAACCATCCCAGTGTAGTGGTGAATACATGAGTCTGGGAGCAGAGAGAGTCCTAGATTAACTCCTGATTCTGCTGCTCAAAAGCTAAGACTCTCTGGGAAAAGAGCAAGGACTCCTGTATCTCTAGATCATGATGAGGTCCCGGCAAAGAGATCTAAGGGAGCATTTCTCCAGTTATCCCCATTCCTGGTTGTTTTCTATTTCTAGATTTCAAAGCAGGACTCAGTAAACTAAGTCAAGGGAATTCTATGTCCGGTGACAACTGTCCTAGTGATATTTCATTACCTCTCTCTACCCCATTTATTCCCACTGCTCTGCAGTGGTGTCTTGGGTCTCCTACTCCTAGCTCACCCTCCGAGGAGCTGGCAATCAAGTACCTGAATCCCTAAGGAGTTGACAGTCAACAGTACCTACTTGAGTAGTCACTGTCAACTAAGTACTGCACAAGGGCAAGATCACATCTAGGTGGGTTACAAAAAAATTATCTTTCTTAAATGATTTCTGGGTTACAAAAAATTATTTTCCTTAAATGATCTCAGGTGCACAGAACTGGATTAAAGCTCAAGCACTCACCAAAAAAAAAAAAAAAAAAAAAAAAGACATGAGTGGAAACTTAAAGCAAGAGAAAGCTAACACAAGCATTTTGTTATTCTTACTGTTTCACAAACTATTCCAGGTAGAGAAGGCCATCTTTTCATTCCTCATCACCCTGGCTGTGGAAGCTTTATGTCCTTGGTTCTCCTTACCTCCCCATTTTTGCTGTCTCTTCCCTTTCCCCCTTGACCTTGCTTTAGCTCTTGAGGCTCAATCCTAGGTATAGGGATTTTCCCCCTATCTACCCACACTTCTGCTAGGAACTTGGACAAGGTCTGGTTCCAATTACTATCAAAGACACATCTTCAGACAAAAGGAAGATAACAAAATATTAATAAAGAACTGCCCTGTAAAAGAGGGTAAGAATGTACAATATCTGCTCAACTAAGAGCTTAATCAAGTTTAGGGGCTACAGAAATAAGAACTGCACAATTTGACTAATGAAATACAGTGCATTTGTCTTTTCTCCTTTCTCTGTAGGCTTAAAGTTCACACTGGGTTCTATTACAACCAGACATAAAAAACAAGAATAAGTAAAGTTTTTATTTTGTCTGCGAGGCAAGATAATACTCTGAGTTATGATTTGCTACTTTGAGACTCTTGAATTGTAATGTTTTACCTGTTGTACTTTACAGGTACAGTGGATTGCAAGCTAGAACCTAAACCATCCCTGCCACCAGGAGTCACATTTGGTAACCCCAAGGAATGTTTGTATGAGGGACTACAGAATACTTTAGGGGAATAATCATCCCTGCTAATGTGAGGCAGAAAAGCTTGGTCCCACTGGCTGGGCCTGGTGGCTCACGCCTGTAATCCCAGCACTTTGGGAGGCTGAGCCAGGTGGATCACCTGAGGTCAGGAGTTCAAGACCAGCTTGGCCAACATAATGAAACCTTGTTTCTACTAAAAATACAAAAATTAGCTGGGCATGGTGGTACATGCCTGTAGTCCCAGCTACTTGGGAGGCTGAGGTGGGAGGATCACTTGAACCCAGGAGGAGGAGGCTGCAGTGAGGAGATCGTGCCACTGCACTCCAGCCTGAGTGAAAGAGCAAGACTCTGTCTCAAAAAAAAGAACTTGGCATAAACACAGCCTTGAACAAGAGAAGTGATCCTGAGCACAGTCCCTTCTAAAGACTTGGTTTGCTCCTCCAGCCCAGCTCCAAGAACTCATAACAGAGACAGAGGAGCTACAACAAAGAAACTAAAGAATGATTTTCACTAAAAACGAAGTGATAAGCTCTGCTTTGATGCTCACACAAGACATAATACATGGGGAGAAAGGAGCTGGGACACATCAACAGTCCCTGAATATCAGCAATGTATCTAGCAGGATAGCATAAGACCAAGGAGATGGTAGTGTCGGGCAAAGAGGCAGACCTCTGATATCTGACAGGAGGTACCAACGTGCAACTGCAGAGGCAGCAAACAGCACAGGAAGAAAAAGACAGGTGTCATGTAGCAGTGGAATGCATTAGTGGGCACACATCAAACACAATTTGGTGACTCCCGGAATAAATCTTGGAGGGAGGCATTTATGAGGGTGCTAGAGGTCCTATATCATTAATAGGTAAGGGTAAAAGTCATGAAATTCTGATTACTCTGGTTATTAGTCATATTTTATTTTATGCATATCTTGCTATCAAATCCATGCTAGTTTCATGTGTGTTCATGCATAAATGTGATTAGTTTATCATCAGAAAGCCATTACTAAGCATCTACTAGGTACTTAAAACTATGCTAAGAATTTTGGACACACAGGAAAAAAATGTAACGGGATGATCTTGCTAATATATGCAACAATTAGTGATGAATTCAATACAGTCTATAATTAAGGGGCTAAATGCGTCATACAGTCTATGACTGCTGTAGGAGTTCAAGAGACAGGGGACAAAACTGGATTTGAGGCATAGGGTGCAGTGTCAGAAAAAACAAGACTTGTATTGACCTTGAAAAATTAATAAGGCTTTTTTATCATAATAAAGCTAATACAGGATCATTATAAAGAATTTGGAAAAGATATTTTAAATATAGAATGTTCTAATTGCCCACAACATATGAGTAATAGTAAAAGACAGGAAAGAAAAGAGAACGTTTTTATCTAGGAAAACAATGTAAGTGAAAGCAGAGAGAAAGTAATTTCATAGTACACACAAACAATATTAATATCAGTGGTTCCAAAACCATGTTCCTCAGGAACACTGGTGTCCTGGACTAGGGTGTGCCTTCATTAAAATCAAATATGAAATTTTCTCATTTGCAAACGAAAAAAAAATCAACAAAAAAAACTTCTCATTTTTAAGGGGTTTTTTCATTTATGTTTCTTAAACCTTCAATATCTGAGATTATTTCAGATTTGTTGCTGGCTATCAACTAACATCAGATGATTTCAGATATTTTGCTGGCTAGCAGCAAAAGTATGTTCAACAAATAGGTAAGGAATACTAATACAAATATTCCAACAATGTTTCATGAGAACACAGGTCAGGTCATGAATGTCACAAGCTCATGAATGGACATTTTAAATTGTTTTGTAGTTGCAGCAGTCACTGCTAATTGCCTACCTTGGATCTATTCTCCCCTTCTTACTTAGAGAACTCCAATTTTGTTCAGGGAAACAAAGTACCCAACTAAATAACCTACATTTCTTGGCCTCCCTCGCTCTGTGTTCATATGTAGGCACTGTCCCTTCCTCCTTCATTCTTCCTCTGTTTTTTTCCTTGACTGGAGAGCAAACCTGTTGCCTAAAGTTGCAGCAGCCAAAAGATGACAGACCAGAAAGACCAGGAGCAAGACAGTAAGATGGAGGAATCATAAAATCACCACACCGCCTGTGGATTTCCTCTTTCCAGACTTACCATTATAGAAAATAATGTATATAAATGAATACATTTTTTAAAAAGCCCTTATCATATAAGCCACCACTGGTCACACCATTGATACATGCAAACATAATTCCAATAGAATGATTGTGTGTAAATTTAATAAGATAAATATTTCTAAGCAATGGTCTTAAAAAATTTTGTGCTACATCAGAGACCACATGATAAAATTTATCAAGAGAATCATGACTTGCTGGTGCTCTGACACCTTACTTTTTTTTTTTTTTTTTTTTTTTTGAGACAAGGTCTCACTCTGTTTCCCAGGCTGGAGTGCAGTGGTGTGAACACGGCTCACTGCAACCTCTGCCTCCTGGGCTCAAGCGATTATCCCACCTTAGCTTCCCAAATAGCTGGGCCTCAGCCTTCTGAGTAGCTGGGGGAACACAGGTGTGGACCACCATGCCCAGCTAATTTTTGTATTTTTTGTAGAGATGGGGTTCACCATGTTGCCCAGGCTGATCTTGAATTCTTGGGCTCAAGCCATCTGCCCACCTCAGCCTCCCAAAGTGCTAGGATTAGAGGCATGAGCCACCACACCCAGCTGATTTCTAACAAATTTGAGAACAGAATCACTGCCTTAGCTTAAACCCAATACAGAAGGAATCTATTTTGGGATCATCTTCTGAATGTTCTTTGTTTTCAAGTATTCTGTACAGTACCAGGCATCAAGAGGACATTCTACTACCTGTCAATGATTATGATGATTACCCACCTGCCTTCCTGAAACCAAAATGGAAATTCAGTAAAACGGATGAGCCATTACTAAGGCCCTCAAAAATGAATTCTCCAAATAGAAATGTTTTACACAAAGAAGTACTCACAAGAGTTGCTCAGAACAAAATATTTTGCTCTTGTTGCAAATCTGCCCCACAATTCTCAAAATGTAAAACTTGTCTCGAGAATTTCATTAACATTTCAAAGCTCAGAAACAATACACACTAGTGGGAGAAACTCTGCTTTCTATGAACCTGAGCTGCCCAAATTCCCAACTTCTGGCAGCAACAACTAGGTTCAGGCTCTGATTCAAAATGAGATCCAGCAGCCTTCCAGAATGATACGACTTTTCTACCACCCTTCCGTTAAAAAGAAAGGTAGTTTTGGGGATCTTATGAGTTAGCTAACACTCACGGAGAGCCAAAAGGAAATAAACTTCATTAGATGTTA